>NC_000023.11:32287844-32438201 GCF_000001405.40 Homo sapiens | reverse complement strand
ATTAATGTATAGCAGATACAGGCCTCTCAGATAAAATGAGCAATAGTTTAAATATTAGCTCAGCTTTCAGGTTTCAGAGACAATCCAATGCCAGACACTGGGTAAATTCTTTACATGTGTATTATAGCATGTGATTTCACAAAAACATTGTAAGTTAGGATTCTTAAAAGGCAACTGAGACATCCCAAGAAGGTTACTCTGACCACAGAGTTCTTTTCCTTACTCAAGATAGACCAGTATGTGTGGGTATCCTTTCTCTCTCGCTGTCTCATTTTATTCCTCTCCCTCCATTCCACACACATTTGTTATGTCACATGTAATCTGCTAATAATACATGCAATTCTGTTAGTACCCCATATTATTTATTCTTCATAAATAACACTACATTTCTTATAGATAAATTTTCATATATCACACATGGTGTGATTTTTCAAATCAAAACTAAAACAAAATAGCAAATTTCTCCTAGTCAGTGTTTTGCATACTATCTCCTAAGAATGGATTATTTGTCAAGAAGAAAACCCATTTTATAATGATGTTTAGTTTTATATTCACTTACTGAGTACATCTACTACATGTGAGATATGGTTCTATGGTTTGATGAGTAGGAAAAATTTGCTAACCTTCATAACTTAAAAACATTGGTTAGTTAAGGAAGAGTTACTGATTTCCTAGAATGTGCAAGACATAAAAACAAATAATATAACGTATGAAGAGAAAAAAGAGAATAAGGGGGGGTAGTAACTAGGGTAGTATGCATGAAACCATTGACTAATGACTTATTGAATAGTCAATGTCGGGGACCTTTTGACATGCTTACAGATTGAAAAGGAACGCCTTGAGTAGGAAAACCTCTTCTCTATCCAATTCTGAAGAGAAGTATGTGAGGGTAGGGCAGATATCTGCAAATGTACCAGCAGCACCTCCAGTCTTGAATCCTGGGTGGCATATCCATATTTTATCCAAATCAACATAAGGAATTGGGGATTGGAAAAGGGGAATTCCAAACAATCTCTGGTCCTTCATCATTGTTGCACTATTGCTGGATCTGAGTCAAATAGATATTGCTATGTGGCAAGTAAATTGAAGATCATTTCAATGTGGGTTGTGATATGGAATTGGAATGTGTTTTTATTTCTATTTGAATATCAGTGTCAGGTAGGAGACAGCAGTTGCATCAAAAAATTAAAAGTCATTGTGAAACTGACCTTGGCTTAGCTGTGAAAAGACTCAAATTTTTTTTTTTTTAAAGACAGGGTCTTGCTCTGTCCCTGAGACTGGAGTGCAGTGGCATGATCGTGGCTCACTGTAGCCTCGACCTCCCTGGGCTCAGGTGATCTTCCCACCTCAGCCTCCTGAGTAGCTGGGACTACAGGTGCATGCTGCCACTCCCGGTTATTTGTGTGTGTGTGTGTGGAAATGTTGTTTTGCCATGTTGTCCAGGCTGGTCTTGAACTCCCGGGCTCAAGCTATCCACTTGCCTTGGCCTCCCAAAGTGCTGGGAGATACACCTGGCCAAGATCCAACTTCAGTGTTTGACATTTTTCAGTACTCATCTATTCTGTCCTTAGGAATAGCTTACTCTCTAACTTGATCTTGGTATTAACTCTATTAATGTAATTATATTGCAATCCTTTATTAACACAAAACTACTTATAACCTTCTATTTTAAAGGTTTTTGGTATAAACCCTGACATTTCCCCCAAAGAAAAAATAATTCATTTCAGCAACATACCCTGATTCAACACGTATTATCTTATTTTCTGGACTGAGTTTTTAAAGCATAAACTTTTGAATAAGAAAATACTTGAAACTTGGGCTAGAATAACACCTTGTATTAGTAGTCAGGGTCCAGACAGGGCACAGAAACCACTCAGTCACTTAAACAGAGATGGTTTAACACAAATAAGTATTAACTACTTACTGGAAATTAATTTTTAATAGGAAATAAAAGAGATCTCTAAAGAATACCTTAAGCCTGAGGAATAGTACACAAACAAGGAACTAATATGGAAAGATAGGAGCTCAACCCAAGGCTGGATTCAAACTTCTTTAGAAAGTGTGTGTCTGCCTCCCATGGGATGACAGAGAAGTTTCCTTCATTGACCCAATCCAGAACAAGTCTATAGCCAGTGAGCTGAAGCTAGTGTGAAGAGAATATTGGAGGGGAATGCTGACAAAATTCACAGGGAAGTAGCCTATGGTGGGGAACCATTGAATTTGCTAGAAAGCTGTCTGGTGTATTCATTGGACATGGTGGGAAACTACCTGTAGTGGATGCTACTAAACTTGAGGAAATGAGGTGGGGCTCCAGGAAGCTGCCTATGGATTTGCCACCCATCCTCAATTTGCTTATTGGGTACCCATAGAACTTGTCAAACACGACCCATAGTGTTGCTGAAAGTCTTCTGGGTAAAGTGGGGTGGATGAGGTGAGCCTTACTGGGCATTCCATAGGCCAGCCCAGAGTCACAGGTTTGAAAAAGAATTAAAAGCACACTGGGACAGACAAACCTCTACCTCCCCCATTGTCACTCCAGCATCCTTTACTGACAGAACTTAATATCATGTCAGCTGGCAAGGGGAGAAATGTTCCCGTGTCAAAAACAGGATCATGTTGAAAGGCAAAAAATTGATAACTGGCAAATCCCTCTGTAATTCACTGGCTATGTGATTTTGAGTAACAGTTTTAAACTTACGTTTCCTCATCCTGTTTCATAGGGGGTTTTTTTTGTGAGCAAAATATAAAATACGGCACTTAAAGTACTATGGTTCCAGGAACACAGTACATATTCAATAAATTATTCAATAAATTTAATACATGATCAGCCTTTTTATTTTGACTAGATGATATTCTAGAGTATCAGCCCTCAAAAATTGTGTGTGTGTGTTTGTATGGGTGTAAATATATATATATATATATATATGTAAGTATATATTAAAATATGTAAATATATATTTAAAAATATGTAAATATACATATATATATATCCCACTGAGGGCAGTGATTGGTAAATAAATGCAGATAGTGCAATATGAAATATAATGAAATGCACATGCCTCCATTAGTTAAATAAAATGTGAAGACAGATAAAAAGGATTTTTATCACCCTCTAAGTCTTAAAATCAGAAGCTCTCCACTTGTACCTCAATGATTAAGCAGAGTGTTAAAATAACAATAAATCTAAAATAAGTAAACTTGAAACTATTATCAGTCCTAGCTGTGTTTATATTACATATTTGGCCAGTAATAACCTGGGAGTTATTTGACAATGAAAATAAAGCATATTTAGTTTTTACGGCTTTCATGAAAACCACATCATGTTAAACATAATATCCTTCTCAAATTCTGTTGTATCAGCCTGTGATAAGCTGATTAGACCTGAAAGATACAATGTTAAATTAAAACAATGTGTAGTAATAGGACTTTTGTATTTCTCAGGCTTTGCTCAGCACTTTGATCAATTTCAAACTACTTAGGTAAAAAAGACACACCTAATAATTTATTAGCTAAATCAATCCTTTGGATATTTCCACTATCTAGTTAAAAAGACTGTTGTTTCGATGCAGTAGAATAAGCCTTGGGATAAATTATCTGAGAGGCTGAAGAAACAAAATGATTACAGTAACTGAGTTTTTAAATCAATTTAAAAAATTCTTGTTGTACATTAATGTGTTATAATCAAGAATTCTGAATTTGTTTTAGGCCATGATTCTCTTGATTTTTGGTTGGTTAAACAAAAAAGTTTTTATTTTGTGGTTATTTTCTATTTTTATTTTATTTTATTTTTTTGAGACAGAGTCTCTCCCTGAAGCCCAGGCTGGAGTGCAATGGCACGATCTTGGCTCACTGCAACCTCTGCCTCCTGGGTTCAAGCAATTCTCCTGCCTCAGCCAGATTTGCTATTAATAAACAAAGTGCCTTTTAATTTGAAGATGAGCCTTAACCTATTTTTTAAAATCAATTAAGTGCCTATGTCAGAGGTTTGTGAGGTTTTTATATCACCTACCTAATGTTTCTTATAGCTGCAATTATGCAGAACTAAGGTAACATTCAATTGCCTGTTAAATCAGTCAAACAGCCAGACTTTTATTGCCTATGAATATTTAAAAGAGATTTGCTAGATCCCATCCCTAATTTCAGAGTGTGAGTTTGCATTCAAATAAGTAATAAATTATTTCCATCACTTCAAAAGGCATCTTTCATTCTTGATAATCATATAGCACTATATTTTCTACTCACAGTAATGATTTGAAAGATGGTTAGCAAACCAGGCAACATCTCCAACAGACGTACCAAATCATATCATTTTTACAACTATTGTAATAGCTTTATTCTCTAACAGGGTAACCAAGCAGCAGAAGATGATTTAGTAATACAACAAAATGAATAATAATATTGGTAATAGTATTTGGTTACAGAGGCTCAGGTACCCTTTTAATTGTCAGATATGCATTTTCTCATTTAGTTCTCACAATAGCCTTATGATACATGGTGGTTTTTGTTTTTGTTTTTTCTTTTTTTGAGATGGAGTCTTTCCCTGTTGCCCAGGCTAGAGTACAAGGGTGCAATCTCAGCTCACTGCAACCTCCTCCTCCCGGGTTCAAGCGATTATCTTGCCTCAGCCTCCCGAGTAGCTGGGATTACTGGCACATGCCACTACGCCAGGCTAATTTTTGTATTTTTAGTAGAGATGGAGCTTCACCATGTTGGCCAGGCTGGCCTCAAACACCTGACCTCAGGTTATCCGCCCGCCTCGGCCTCCCAAAGTGCTTGAATTACAGGCGTGAGCCACCGCATCCGGCCGATATATGGTTTTTCATATTCCCATTCTACAGAAATTGAAAGGATATTAAAGGCCCTAGGAAAAAGCTATTGAGCATTTAGACCCATCTCTTTACACTTGAAGCCTAGGCACGTGACCATTTGGCTACACTACCTCCAATCTCTGTGACCCTTTTCATATATTAAAAATAAAAACTCTGCTAATAAGTGAATATGGCAATTAACGAGTTTCCCCGTTTTTAAGGAAAGCTTAAAACATGGCCTTAAAAGTATTATGGCTGACTAATTAAAATAAAATTTAGAGTCTTAAATATTAAAGTCACACATTGAGAAGTCCAAAGCCTTTACCACTTCTCTTGATGAGTGATTATTTCACCTCTTTCGTGGCTTATTAATGCCCGTATTTCAGTCCCTTTCAAAGATGTCTGTAAGTTGTTATGCCTGACATGAAATAGCAAATTTACTGAAAGGGACAAAATCTAAATTGGTTAATTCTTCTGTAATAGTAACATTTATGATAGACTCAGAGAGGGCCGTATTAATTTTTCCTGGTAATTATGACTTTGAATTTTTCCCTCAGTGTCACATCTACCTTAGCATAGATAGACCAGAACGGAAGAACATTGCTTGAAGGAAGACTATAAAGTAATCTAGGAAAATAAGTGGCATATTATGCTTTATTAATTTGTCAATATGTTTTGTAGACAATATCTGTCTATAATAATAGTAAAAGCCATTACTTTTTGAGCACAGTTTTACGTCAGTCCTTTTGCTAAGCCGTTAGAAGCAACATCAAACTTAAATCCCACATTTGCTTTATGAAATAGATTTGATTAGCTTACTTCACAGTTGTTGTGATAGGGCTGACTTCTGTTCTCAAGGGCTAGGACAGCTAAGTCTTCTGTAATGCCCTCTGGAAAGCACTAGGATGCTGGAAAATGTCTAGTAGTTGTATTTTATGTTGCTTTCAAAGAAGTATAAGTAAACCTTTAAAGGCTAGGAAAAAAATCAGATGAAACTGAAGTCATGCCGTAACATGCCTATGACCACTGACATTTGTATGGTGGAGATAAAAGCTAAGACTGGGAACCCCAATTTTAGGTGAATTAAGTCATTTGATGGAAAAGAAATATGATCCTCTGGCTCACGAAAATGGTGGAGCTAAACACAGATTCCACATAAAACTGGGGTTCTATCAGTAAGATAATGGGCAGAGAGAATTCTATCTGCAGAGAGAACAAACATAAAAAGACATCTGTCTTCTCACTGTGAGTGCAAAGTAATAGAATAATTATAATAATGTCACCTGAAAATGTGTGTTGGCCTATTCTTGTAAGGTGAGGAACTCTTGAGTGTATATTATCACAAAGGGTAAAGAAATATCCAAACAAGTGATTAAGTCAGGGTAGCACCAGGTTAGGAGCGTCCTAGCATTAGTTAGAAGCAAATGCAAATTGTTTACCATGAAAAGTGCCCTCAGTGTCCTCACAGATTAAACTCAGGGGAACTTGAGCTCATCATAAACACATAGACATACACACACTCACTCACACGCACAAGAAAAGCCCTCATGAAGCACAGTCAGCCTATACAACGAACGGTGAGTTTACTTCTAGAATTCCGGATATTAGAATTGCAAGATGTATAGTATAAAATAAATAGGTAAAATATTATAGAAATAAATGTTATTGAAGTTATAAAAAAGAAAACATTGTAAAAATGGAATAAAGAAATCAAAATTAAACAACTACAATTAAAAATTAGAAAATGAATATATCATATATAAACATATTAGTTGAAAGAAATGATTTAAAAGAAAACTAAAAGAGAATGTACAGACTGTGTTACCAAAAACTAAGGAGGTGGAAGATGTGAACAATAGGTAATAGATACAGGGGTGGGGAGTAGAATATGAACATATAACTTATCTCAATGGGAGTTTTCAAAGAGGAGAATAAAGAAAATGGAGATTATTATTATTCAATATAAAAAAATTATATAACCCAATTTAAAAATGAGCAGTTGAGCTCAAAAGGCATTTCTTCAATGAAGACCTACATATGGCCAACATATATATGAAAAGGTGCTCAAACTCATTAATCATCAGGGCTATGTAAATCAAAACCACAATGATATATGTCTTCACATCTGTTAGAATGGCAGTTACTTAAAAAGAAAATCAAGAGATGACAAGTTTGGCAAGAATGTGGAGAAAAGGGCCCCTTGTACCCTGATGGCAGGAATGTTAATTCATGCTGACACTATGGAAAACAGTATGGAGATTCCTCAAAAAAAAAATTAAAAATAGAATTACTATATGATCCAGCAATTCCACTTCTAGGGATATATCCAAAGGAAATTGAATGAGAATCACAAGGAGATTATCTGCACTCTATTGTTTATTGCAGCATTATTTACAATAGCAAAGATATAGAGACAACCTAAATGTCCATTGACAGGTGAAAGGAAAAAGAAAATGTGATATATACATACAATGAAATATTATTCAGCCCTTAAAAAATAAGCAAATCCTACCATTTCGCTGTAACAACATGGATAAACCTGGAGGACATTATGCTACATGAAGTAAGCCAGACATAGAAAGACAAATAATACATGATCCCAATCATATTATGAATCTAATACAGTCAAACTAATGGAAGGAGAATGTGGAATGCTTCCTGCCAGGGGCTAGGGGAAGGGAAAAATGGAGAGATATTTGTAAAAGGGTACAATGTTTAGGTTATACAATATAGATAATTCCTAGAGATCTACTGTAAAGCATATTGCCTATAGTTAGTCTATTTACTTAAACTTTGCTAAGAGGATAGACCTTATGTTAAGTGTTCTGTTACAGAATAATAATAATATTAGAATAGGAGGAAAGTTTTGGAGATGATGAATAGGTTTATGTCATAGATTGAGGTAATGTTTTTATCAGTGTATATTTATCTCCAAACTCAGCAACTTGTGTATGTTAATTATATACAGCTTTCTTGTATGTCATAATTTTTTTGAGAAATGGAGATGGAGTAATATATGAAGGATATTAAAGGAAAGTTTCCAAGAGCCAGTGACATAAACCACTTAAACAGAAAGCACATTATATAACAGGCAAAGTAAATAAATAGAAATCCAATCTCAGACATATCACAGTGAAAGTGCAGAAATCCAAAGACAAATTTATATTAGCAGCTAGAGGTGAGATGGATAACCTACAAAGCAATTAAATTTAGGCTGTCATTAGACTTCTTATCTACAACAATGAATAAGAATAAAAAAGCAATGGAAAATATTTTCAAGATATTGAAAAAATTACCGTCAACCTAGAATTCTGAACTCAACAAAATTAGTTCTTCAGAGTAAGAGGAAATTAGACATTATCAGAGTGAAAAAAAAGTGAAATTTTACCCCAATAGACCCTTACTATAAAAATGTCTAAAATAAGTATGAAGAATTAGAAGTAGTAGAAAAATAAGTTTTAAAGGTTTTAGATGCAATAAGTATGATGAAAAAATAGTTAAGCTTTTAAATACAAAAGGCATTTGTTGCAAAAAATATATAAGAATATCTAATTTCATTTAAAATAATGTTGATCTAAAATACTAGATTAAAAACAATATGGAGGGGAGTTACAGCCACAAGCCCTTTTATTTAGAAAGAGGGTAGAGATAGTGATTAAATGTCGACTTTATGCTGTAATAAATTGTCAAGGATAACCACTAATGGAGCATCCACCTGGGAAACAATCAAAGAATGATAAAAGGAACAGTTCTCAATCAGTACGCAGTAAAGCAAGAAAGAAGGAAAACAAAACAGAAAAATGTGAGATGAGCATAAAATAAAAGAAAAGATGGTAGAAAAATAGAAATAGAAAAAAATAGATGGTAGAAAAATACCAGCGGCCGGGCGTGGTAGCTCATGCCTTAATCCCAGCACTTTGGGAGGCCAAGGCAGGCAGACCAGGCTGCCAACAAGGTGATACCTGGTCTCTACCACAAATACAAAAAAAAAAAAAAAAAAAAAAAACCCAAAAAAAAGTATCCAGGCTTGGTGGTGGGTGCCTATAATCCCAACTACTCGGGAGGCTGAGACAGGAGAATCACTTGAACCCAGGGAACGGAAGTTGCAGTGAGCTGAGATCATGCCATTTCACTCCAGACTGGGTGAAAGAGCAAAACTCTGCCTCAAAAAAAAAAAAAAAAAAGGAAAGAAAAGAAAAAGAAAAAAAAAATACATCTGTAGTCCTAGAACTATTTGCTCAATACATTTAATATATAAATGTAGAAATTTTCAGAATAAAGCATCAAAATTCAAAATACATTGTTTTTAAGAAATACATAAAGACACATATATCGAAAATGGAAACAGATTTTCCGAAAAGGATTAATCAATAAAAAGCTTAGACACCTAATTTATTTCCAGCAAAATAGACATTATGGTCATTATCATTATTAGGCAAAAAATGGAGTAAAATATAACAGTTCTAAAACTTGTACATACCTGGCCGGGCATGGTGGCTCACGCCTCTAATCCCAGCACTTTGAGAGGCCGAGGTGGGTGGCTCACCTGAGGTCAGGAGTTCGAGACCAATCTGGGCAGCATGGTGAAACCCCGTCTCTGCTAAAAATACAAAAATTAACCAGCTGTGGTGGTGCACGCCTGTAGTCCCAGCTGCTTGGGAGGCTGAGGTGGGAGAATTGCTTGAATCTGGGAGGCAGAGGTTGCAGTGAGCTGAGATTGCAGTCTCCACTCCAGCCTGGGTTACGGAGTGAGACTCTGTCAAAAGAAACAAAAAAATCTCGTACATACCTGGGAAAATACCTTTAAAACACGTAAAGCAAAAATCCACAGAATAACAAGAAGAAATACACAACTATATCAGCATGGTGGGAGATTTCATAATGCCTCTTTCTTTCAAGACACCAGACAAAAGTTAGTGAAGATAGTGATGATTAACAGTTGATAAGGTGGATATAAAGACTGTATAGAGAACCCCAAATCAGAGTGTAAATTTCATCTGAAGTACATGGAAATGTCAATACATTTCACATATTTGGTATTATTAGGGAAATACTCTTAAATTTGTAACAAGCTAGAATCAATAGTAAAAACTTGACTAAAGTAAATAATTTGTGGATCAAAGATGAATTCAAAATGGATGGTTAAAATTCATAGAACCGAGTGATAATAAAAATAAAAATTAAAACTAATTGGTTCCTGTTAATTTTTGTAGAAGAGACGGAAGGGCTGAAAACTAGTGAGCTAACTGCCCATCTCAAGAAAATAGGGAAAAGTATAATAAATGCAGAGAAAGTAAATGGAAAGAGAAGAATTCAAGAGCAGAAATAAATAAAAACAACATGGAATCAATAAAATTTAAATGCCCATATTCATGTTTTAATTAGACAAATCAACTGAGAGGGAAGTAAAAACAAATATAAAATCTTAAGGATGAAAATGTTATAACTACAGTTATAATATATTTTTAAAATACAGAAAATACTAAAAGCTATGCAAATAAGTTTAGAAACTTACATGAAATGGATGAATTTCTAGGAGAATATTGCTACAAAAATGATGGAAGGGGATATAGAAAGCCTGAGGAGACAGAAATTTAATCACAAATTAAAAGTCTTCCTACAAAGACTATATTAGACTGAAATTATTTTACATTCAAATTTGAACACACTTTCTAGGAATAGATAATTCCAGTCATCAACAAACTCAGTAGAACATACAAGGCAATATACATGTCTGGAAAATATAAGGTTAGAAAATTTTTTTTTTTTTTTACCAAAATCAGACAAAAATGAAACAGGAAGGAAAACCCCATGCCAATTTCAGTCATAAATTAATAAGGAAAAGTTCTGAAACAAATTATTGGCCAACTGGATCCAAGTGTGTATGAAACAGTGTTTAAGCTTAATGTTCTCCCTTTCCTTTCTATATTCACTCTTTATAATACTTTATGCAGTGTCATGGCTTTAAATAAAATTTACATGCTAATTATTCCCAAAATATTATCTCTGGCACAGACTTTTGCCCTTAACTTCAGACCATATATCCAGCCTTCTATTGTGTATTTTTCTCTTTGGATATCTCATAGGCTACTCAAACTTAACATACTCAGATGACAGCTCCTATCAAAGCTACCCAACACCGTTTTCTCCACCTCTGTTAATGCCATCTCATTCCTGAAATTTCTCATACCAAAACTTTTAAAATGAACTTTGATTCTTGTCTTTCTTTACCAGCCTTTCTCTTAGCAGATCTGAAAGATGGTCTCAACAGATCTAGCTGTTGTTTTACTTTTATGTTCTGGGTATATATGCAGGTTTGTTATACAGGTAAACAGTGTGTCATGGGGGGTTGGTGTACAGATTATTTCATCACCCAGGTAATAAGCATACTACCTGATAGGTATTTTTTCTGATCCTCCCCTTCCTCCCATTCTCTATCCTCAAGTAGGACCCAGTGTCTGTTCCCTCATTGTGTCCATGTATTCTCATTATTTAGCTCCCACTTATAAGTGAGAACATGTGATATTTAGTTGTCTGTTCCTGCATTAGTTTGCTAAGTAGAATGGTCTCCAGCTCCCTCCATGTTCCTGCAAAGGACACGAACTCCTTCTTTTTGTGGCTGCGTAGTGTTCCATGGTGTATATGCACCACATTTTCTTTATCTAGTCTACCATGGAGGGCATTTAGGTTGATTCTGTATCTTTGCTATTGTGAATAGTGTTGCAATGAACATATGTGTGCATGTGTCTTTGTGGTAGAACAATTTGTATTCCTTTGGCTATACACCCGGTAATGGGGTTGCTGTGTTCTGTTTTTAGCTCTGCCAAACTGCTTTCCACAAGGGCTCAACTAATTTACACCCCCACCAGCAGTGTATAAATGTTCTGTTTTCTCTGCCATCCCAACAGCATCTGTTATTTTTTGACATTTTAATAATAGCCATTTTGACTGGTGCGAGATGGCATCTTATCGTGGTTTTAATGTGCACTTCTCTAATGGTTGGTGATATTGAGCATTTTTTTTCATATTGTTGGCCACATGTGTGTCGTCTTGTGAAAAATGTGTGTTCATGTCCTTTGCCCATTTTTAATGGAGTAGAGTTTTTAAAATAAATTTGTTTAAGTTACTTAGAGATTCTGGATGTTAAACCTTTATCAGATTCACAGTTTGCAAAATATTTCTCCCGTTCTGTAGTTTGTCTGTTTACTCTGTTGACAGAGTTCAACAGAGGAACTCTGTGAGGAAGTTGTGTAATTTAATTAGGTCTCATTTGTCAGTGTTTGCTTTTGTTGCAATTGCTTTTGACATCATCATTACATCTTTTCCCATTCCTATGTCCAGGATGGTATTGCCTAGGTTATCCTCCAGGGTTTTTAAAGTTTTGCTTTGACATTTTAAGTCTTTCATTCATCTTGAGTTGATTTTTGTATATGGTGTAAGGTTTTATTCTTCTGTATACGGTTAGCCAGTTATCCCAGCACCATTTATGGAATAGGGAGTCCTTTCCTCATTGCTTGCTTTTGTCGGCTTTGTCGAAGATCAGAAGGGTATAGGTGTGTGGCATTATTTCTGGGCTTTCCATTCTGTTTCATTGGTCTATGTGACTGTTTTTGTACCAGTACTGTGTTGTTTTGGTTACTGTAGCACTGTAGTATAGTTTGAAGTCAGCTAACATGATGCCTCCACTAGCTGTATTTCTTTGCTCCTTCTCTCATTAAATATAGTCTCTGTGTTCCAAAGTGAGGAGGAACAACTGTGAGATTAAGATTTGGTAAAAGAGAAAATGAGCAGGGCAAATAGAGACAATAAATCTGTGATGATGAAAAAATGAGAAAGAAAGGCCAGTAACTGAAATTGAATAGTAATAGGGCAGAAAAGATGTGTTGTTGATTTTCAGGATAATAAAAATTTAAGCATGTTTGTAGTATAAGGGAAGATCCAATAGAAAGACATAATATATAAGAGCAAAGTCTTACAAGATAGGATACACGAGCAAAAAAAATGGAAGGATTGACTTTGGAAGTGGGAAAGAGAAAATTGAGATAATACAAGGAGGTTCTGAGGTGGAGAGTAGTAAGTTTGAGAAAGTTTATCCACCAAGGATAAATTTATCCCTGAGAAGTAGGTAACTCTGTTTTCAGGTTGTTTAGGACTCTGCACGGTAAAGGGGGTTGGGAGAAAGGAGAACTGGTGTCATTGAGGAAATGAGAGTGAAAAGTATTTGGAATAGGAGCTCTTTTGTTTTAAAGATTCGTTTAAAATCAGGAGAAGTGTTAGAGAATAATATCGTGGACTCAGTAGTAGCCAATGAAGTTATTCGCAATGGAAATAATCAGTTATCTGACTTTCTCCCGTAATTTTCTGCAAAATAATTTTATTTAGAACCACACACATACAGCCGCATAGAAAATCAAAAGCGAAGGGATTTTTCTTTGCGTTATCTTTGATTAGCATCTCCAGGTTGTATTTGATTATATTCTGAAACAACTAGGATTCTAGTCTGAAGTATCTTCTTCCAACTATATTCATATTTGCAAGTCATTCATCTGGTTACCGCCAGTATGTCAAATGTGAATTTCATGTATTTTTTTTTTTTTTTTTACAATCTCTCTAACTTAACCAATTTAATTCAGATTTTTATGTCAGTCTTTTAGCTGTTGGCTGTTTTTCCCAAAATGTCAGGATCGGCTCCATAATTTGGGGGACTCAGGGAAGAAAGAAAATACTGGGTCCCATACTCAAAAATTAAGCATTGTAAGATGGCAACAGCAGAGCATTAAACCAAGCATGGGCTCTCCTAAGCATGAGTTACTGCATAACTGCACAGGTTGCATGGCTTTGAAGCCAATTTCGGGTGTCATCTTATACATTTGGTTATTTGTACACCTGAAATGCTTTTGATAAGGTTTGGGAGTTAACAATTTAGGCTCACTTTTATAGATTATCATTACTTGAAAATATTTCATTGAGGATAATTAATTAACAATAAATGCTTTAATATTTAGAAAGGTGAAATTTAATCTTATTCTTAGTGTGTTAATAATGGATATAGCTTCTAGGTTTACATCTTTCCATACTTTGAATTCAGGGCTTTCTTTCCTTAAGTAGTAAAAAGGATATTGGATATCTTGAATCTTGACTTCTCCTAGGTTGAATGCTCTGCAAAAAACCTTTGTCTTTATATAAAAATTGCACTGCAAGCAGACTATTATGGCAGACCTCTGTGTTCAAGGTGACTGCAATTTTCAGCTGAGTGGTGGACTATGCAACTTGTTCTCATAATAATATTAATTGAATAAATGGTCAAGAGTGATTACATTTTGAGGGGAAGAAACCCACTTGTGTAATATTTACACATAGATAATAAACTCAATAGCCCAGACCTCTTTAATGTAAGAAAAATAGACATGAATGTGTATGCTATTTTCTTTGTAAATTAGAAATTTTTCCTTCTCTATTTCATGTATCTTCTTTTGTTATTTGAGAAAGGGATTTTTCTTGTCCTACCATCAATTGTGTGAGTTACCTTGATTCTTGTTTTTAATAATATTTTAAAATACATCTTGTATTTTAAATGTAGTTACCCTCTATTTTATAGCTACAGGAACTGAAAGAGTACATAGCCTTCACAAAAGGGTCTGTGGTGAATGTGTTTAATTCTTATTTTAATCACCATGAATCATGGATTTTTTCTTTGTAAGTAGTAATTCCATTATTTTTAGATATAATTTACCCTACTTCAATCAATAATGTTTCCTTGGACAGTCATATTTACTTTTCCGAAATATTATATAAAACAGTAGTTAAATGTTTTTGTTCGTCTGTATGCCTATTATAGAATATTAGCATTTTTGGGGTCCAGACACAAAGGGACACACAAACACATATATATACTTGCATGTATTTATATATACATGTATATAAGCACATATGTATACATATAATCATGTACTGCATTTCAATATATGATTAATATTTAAGTATTTAATATTCACTCTAGACAAATTATGTTTGCTCTTGGAGGGCATTAATATCTTTGTGAATGAGTGTTAACATATCCATTTAATGGTATCTTGTCTTCAAATATCTCATAATTTGATAGTTGAGTTATTTCTTCTGAAGTTGGAATAGCTTTTCTACAAGGGCCTACCAAAAAAAAAAAAAAAGAATAATAAAGTTGGAATAACAAAAGAGGGAGTTAATACATAAAGGAAAACCATTAAGGCCGAAAAACTAATCAGTTGTAAAAGCTAAATCAGTAGTATGGATTGATAAAGTAGCATTTTAGTGATAAATTTTTGGATTGAAGTTTCTCTTTTAAGTTTATCAATGTACCTTTTCAGAAAAATTCCTCGAGTTTATATCTTTATGTTAATGAAACTTGTCAATAACTTTAATTATCTATGATGATTGACAACTAATACTTAATTTCTATAACACACAATACTGTTCTGAGGGTACATATTCATCTCTCTCTTTCATCTTACGTTTTACCACTCTCAACTTTTTAAAACCGTTTTCTTTGCAAGCTACTTCATAGATTCTTGAGATTGAATAATCAAATCTGTTATTTAATATTCAGGCCAAATTTCTGAAAATGTTTATTTTTTTAAAAAAAATGATAAATGGAAAAGGGAATGTTAAACAACATTTCTTTGCAGTGTATTCCAGTGTCCCTAGATGGAATGAGGAATAAAAATATTTTTCAAGTTCATCATGCTGTCTTTTAAATCATAAAATGCATATATTTATTAGTAATTTTTCATTGAAAGTATCAAAGAAAATTGGAGAATTTCCTTACTGTTTCTACCTCACTATGTTTCGTATATTCTGACCAGCATTAATACCAATTTCATAGCACTCTACTGTTCGCTCTTTTTTGCTGTAAGCCCAACTGATTGCATTTTCTTACCTGTTATTTTTCGTTGTTGTTATTTAAGACATCTTTTCTTTCTAACTTCGGTCTTCATAGACCTTCTCAATTTCAGCTCATCACCAAAATTACACAGATAGAAGAATATAGGGACTTTGGTGTACACATACCCACTTTTGACTCCCTCTGATTTTCTAATTTAGTAGATTTTAATTGAGGCTGAGAACTGTATTTGGAAAAGTTCATTCTGATGATTATTCAGGTTTGTGAACCCCAGTCTAGATAGACCTTTATCAGCACATGTATAAGGTGCACTTTGCTAAGGTGCATTATGTGTCAGGTTCATTCCCACTGTGGACCAGTAATTTATTCTTGCCCAACCACTGCTCATGACAGATAGATGATCTCTGTATTCCAGAAATGAAGCTCCTTTCCAATTCCTCAACAACTAAACCAAGCAGAGGAAAAAGTGGTTTTCCTTCACAGCCATAGTTCCCTGCTGAAGTAGAATGAACGCTTTCTAGGAAACTGCAGCAGATTTTTGATGACACGGAAAGGGCATCACTAGGATCCTCATTATATATTACCTCTCTCCCTCACCCGAACCACAATGTTGACGGAACAGATACTTCCTGTGGGGAAGATGCTAAGCAGTCCTGCATGGCTGTAGGCATTGTCCACATCTTAATCTTCAGCTATATCTGAGGTATGACAAGTTTAACAATCCTACAAGTTAAAGCGTCACACCGGAAACCTGTTTATTCTTCTCCCATGCCAAATAATTCCAGCACGATGGGTTTCATCTATAGACGATGAGAAGATGCCATTGTGGGGTGAGGACATAGAGAAGAGAGGAAGTTTGGAACCAGTTTATTTCTATTTCAGCAAGCTTAATGTATTGTAAGAACATTTTGTGGCAGATGACCCTAGTCTGTAACAAGGAATCGATTGTAATGCATCATTCTGCCAGTGTTTATCTGTTCCCTATGCTCATATAAACACACGAGTCATCTTTCTGCACTCCCAACCTACTCCTAAAGCACTATACAGAATGTTTCGAAAGCAGAAGGAAAAGCAGCTGTTCCATACACCATGTTCCTGCTGTTCAAGGTGCACATCCCATCCAAATGAATCATATCAGAGCCAAAGATCCTGGTAGGAGTTCTTTTCTACAAAACTGCAGTCTTGTCTATCCTAACAACTTGGAGGACAAAATATTAGAAAACCTTGTAATAACCTTAGGACACAATAATGTAGATACTGACTGAGCTAGACCTGAGGACTTTTTCAATGTAGTGTGGATAAGTAAGATGACAGGAAGCCATAAGCATACTGTGCCTTGCACATCAACTTCTCCAGAGCCATGACAATCATCTGGAGTATTTGTGATAAATAAATATTGTTAATCTTCATGTAATTGGGTAGGATGAAAAAGGACCAGTCGTCCCAGACATCCCAGGAGAGAGGAGCATTTTTCCAGTTGCTCAGATACAATTTCAAGTTCGAACCAATATGAATTACAGTTGACCACAGAGGCCGGCAAAATCCATGGCACTGTAGTCCAAGAGAACCTGAACACTGGCCTTAGAGTATTATGAGCCTACATCACAGTAGAAGGAATCCAGCAGAGATCTCTAATGCACATCAGAAAAGCACCATTTCTAGTTATCAAGGCTGTATTTCACACTGCTTGACTGAAGATTGGAAACTATTTTATTCATAGGCAACCTGTGTGGCCATCCTTACCTGGTCTATAAAAGGAAGTGTGATGAATTTGCTTCCCATACATCATATTAAGTCCAGAAAGCCAGAGATGCTGTGTTGAGTTTCTTTCCTGAGAGTCTGAATTCCTAAGTAGAGGGACTAACGAGTTCCAAAGTTCTTTCACTCTGAGATCTTTGTCACACTACTGTACTGACTGGATATCACTGACCTTATTTAAGAGGACTATCAACTGGCTAGTTCATCTACATTGTAAGGACTAGTTTGCTCACAACCACCAACCTATCTGTAATTGGCCTCAGTATGCTCTCTCTCACTTGGGTACTTCTGTATTTGGCTAATTAACCTATACCACTTGGCTTAGAAGCACCAGCTACATTTTTTCTAATTTTGACTTCTCATCTTTTCCAACTTGATTTTATCCCCAGATTTGGACTTTTGTCTCATGTATAAACTTTATATTTTGCTTGAACATGTGGTCTCAATGCTGACCAAGTCATCCCTAGAATCTGATTCTGTCTCACTATTCCATATCAGGAGACAGCGACTTAAATATTTTAATTATTTCCTGTATCAATAAATTATTCACTGCCTAAAGTTTAGACTTTAATAATATGAACACATGTGCAGTCAAAGAGTACCTCGCCATTGGGCCGGAAAAATTTCACTGACTTAGGGTGGCTCCTGAAGGTACCTTGAGAAAGCTTGGATATGATGAATCCTGTAGACTTATTTTATGTTTACTGAATAATGCTTCATTCACTTTCTTTTTGAAGCTTAAATAAAGCATCAGTTTGCTCCTGTCAGGGCAGAAGACCAATTTCACTTGTCTACCCATGAGGATAAATGGATGCAGCAAGAATCCAGAAATGTCTTAGATATATTACTCTATAGCTCATTGACCATTCTATCAATGCTCAATGCTTTACTTGAAAGTGATGGCTATCTGATGTCAAGTTCCATTGATAAAATGATTCCCAAACGTTACTTTCAAGTATGCTTCCTTCAGAGGTCACAGAAGAACTTCAGTAACCTGCTAAAACCTAAAACAGGTGAAGTTCCTATTAACCATGACACCAAGAGTTTTCACATTTATATTCTTTCCTGGTAAAGAAAATTATAGGAGCTCCATGCTCACGGCTTTTGAGTTTTCTCCCAGGTGTGTTCAAACCTAGTGACATTAACAAAACATAAATCTAGAAGCCTTTCGTGAATAATGTAACCTTCTTTATTTTATATTTAAAGGATATATATGCAGACATGTACACATCTTTGTAATTATTTACCGCCTATATCCCTATTAAATACATTAACAAATATGCCACAGGAAAAACCACTGTACCAAAGCCCCTCACAAGAGTTATATTTAAAGTGGGTTAAAGCAACATGGTTTTAATTTACTTAGTCTTTCTTGTCCAAGGAACACAGTGTGAGACCTCCTTTCTTTAGGAAAAAATAGGATGAACTAATTTGAAAACAAAGAAAGCAACAAAGTGAATCTTGTGATGAGCTATGAGCATTGGTAAATTATTTCTTCTGTTGTAAATTATCCTCTTCTCCCTCTGCTTTTCTCTTAATCTCCATTTAATTCCCTTTTCAAAATCCTAACTCTATTCTTTTTGGAAAACATTTCATTAAGCTGGTATAAGCATATCTAGACATCTGGAAATTTTTGTATAACTTTTAAAGGATCTATTACTTAACACCATATGAAATTATGGAAAATAAAGTGTTCCTATCTAATCAATCTCAAAGATTTTTCAAGTGTACAATACAATGTGTGCTTCAAGTGTCAGCTTCTTTTTTTTTTTTTTTTTTTTTTTTTTGAGACAGAGTCTCACTCTGTCACCCAGACTGTAGTGCAATGGCACGATCTCAGCTCACTGCCAGCTCTACCTCCCGGGTTCACACCATTCTCCTGCCTCAGCCTCCTGCGTAGCTGGGACTACAGGCGCCTGCCACCATGCCAGGCTAATTTTTTGTATTTTTAGTAGAAACAGGGTTTCACCGTGTCAGCCAGGATGGTTTCGATCTCCTGAAGTGTCAACTTCTTTAAGGCTGTCATCTTGCCGGTTCTAAACAACTAAAAATTGTAAGAACCAATTTCTGAGACAAATAGAACATTCTTAGTGGTCCTTAAATAATTCCTGATACTTTTATGGCATGCTTCTTTAAAGACCTTAGAATTATGCTTCAGGAATTTAAATTGGTTGTTCAGCAAAGTTACCAATCAGTAGGCAAGTTGTTGCATTTGACAGGAGCAATAGTTTTCACGTGGATTATTTATATTCATGTATGTTGGTAGACGGATATAAAACATGCAACTTGCAGTTGCATGAGACAAAAGCATCAACATATCTATCTTAGCTTTTCAATCATGTGATACTACTATAATGCTCCATTTTTCACAGATATTTCTTAAGTTCTTTATCTCTTCAGACCTCCCGTAAACCATTTTCTGTCTTCTGCTGGACCACATTCTAGATGATCTGGATGTCTATCATTCTCCTTTGCCTTTGCTTTATTTGAGTAAGTGCTGAATTCGTGGACTGTGTTAGTAGTTTGATGCGTAGTTTCAGCCAGATAGATCAGAAACATGAAATGCTTTTACATCATCCAGGTAGATGGCGCCATGAATAGATCCCTTTGCTTTCTGGCCTCTGAGGTAATAAAGACTTAAATCTAATTGGGTTCAGCTTAAAATCTCAATGTCATATTTAATTTAATATGCTTCCTTGTTTCCAGCTCAAGCTTAAGCCATGGTCTAAAAGACTTTCTCTGGAAGGCAAGTGTGGTTAGATTCCATCTTACACCTCCACTGCCTCTTTTTCTTTTTTTTTTTTTTAACTGCACTTCAGTTATATTATTCTCCAATGTCTTGGGAAGTAGGAGTTAAGGAAAATAGGCAAATGTCTCCTGTTAACTAGCTATTTGTAGCTTTGAGTTTATGATTTGTGTGTGTGTGTGTGTGTGTGTAACAGAGATACAAAGTTCGGGTTTATTTGGGGTACAAGTATGGGATCTTTAAGAAGTCTTGCAGAAGCTCTTTTGTTTTCCCCATCTTTAAGAAGGAAAATATGCTCTATAAAAACATCTTCAAGCCTCTTGATCCTGAGGTACTCTTGCTCCATAAAGAGTGTTCCTGGTAGATAGCTCAAACATGGCTGTCTTCTTCCACGTTCACTTGACCTATTGAGAAACGTTTGCCACACCAAGCACTGGGGAGTACAGGCTGCCCCCCTTCTTCACTGTATCATTTCTCATTCATTTTTTACCTATCAAGTAGGCATATAATTTCTGAAGCAGACATCTTCAGAAGCAGAGTTGGTAATTAGGTGTCATCCCTATCTACTCTGGACTCCCAGACCCTGTGATCAGTGGTCTTGGAGCTCCACTTACTTGCATGGGACAAAAAGGTTGAAGTACCATCTTCTTTTCCCCCTTACGGAATAAACAGAGGGAGCCATCCCTACTCTCCCTCTGGGCCATGAATTCAGAAGACCGATTCTTTCTAAAACCTTCAGAGAGTTTTAGTATAAGTGGGTATGGTGGAGCAACAAAGGCAGGGCCAGTTTTCCCAGCTCTTTTGTAAGCCCTTTGCTATGCCCTGCTATTTCCATCTCTTAGAATGAGAGAGACTTATTACTTGTTATTTTCAGTTTAAGACTATACCCAAAATTCTAAGACAACAGATAGAATTCAATGCATTCATATCCATAGTGACAGTTTCACACTTGCTCTTAAGTTAAATAGAAGAGTTAGGTCAGGAGGAAATAGTTTATCAAAAATGATATACACCCACCAGTATTCTTAGTACTTGGCACTTGAACAAATTGCAACCTGTTAGTAGGTAAAAAAGAAACACTAAAAGGAAATAGTTGGACCACTGAACTATTGCTTGATCCACTGAAGCAAGTGTTGCTTGGTCCACTGAAGTTGAGACTCTGGGAAAGAAAACTTGACTGGTAAACTCTGTGAAGTGAAGCGTGGTTGTCAAATGGAGATTAATGTCCTCTCATGGGTCTCCACTGTAGTTTCTGAAGGGCAGGTTGAGTAGGATTTGGTTTTAGCACATCTCTTGCAGGACTCCTATCCCAAGACACTTTCTATAAAATAAAACATATTCCATATTGCTCTACTTTCTGCAAGGTACGGACAGTCAGGTTGGGGCCAATTAATGCACTACCCTAAGCAGAAACTTCAAGACTTTGTCGTTGCTTTGCTTTATTTGAATTGGAATTTGGGATTTAGTTTTCGTTAGTTCATTTACTACTAAAATCACTCATAAAAATGAGGGCTTTATTTTGACATTGGCAAAAATCCTTCTTTACTCAGAAGAAAATATTTAAAACTGCTGGAAATTGAAATGTTTTACATGTCTACATCACAATGATGAATACAATGATGAGTATTTAAACACCAAAAATAAAAGTGTCTTATTACGAGATGATTGTAAACAGTGCACCCACATTCTTAATCCATTTGCAAGCATAAGCTTACCCATCACCTCATAAATGCAGTAAAATTGCTTTTTGTATTGAGTTTAATAAGTATAGTATAGGATACCTAGCTCCTTTAATGAATGTGTTTTTTGTAAAATATTATTAAATGATTTTTTTTCTAATTTGGCTTTTTAAAGCATGCATTCATATGTTAAATACATTTTTTGGTTTCAATATTCGGTTTTTTATTTCACATGCAGAGTTTTCTCTTCCAGAGTTTCTTAGACATGCTACACTTTGATTTATGTGTTTGTAATATTGTGGTACAAAGGTTAGTACATTATTTTTAAAATGGAAATGTGAGAAACTGTCAATTCATTGTAGAGATGACTTTACATTGCCAGCAAAACTCATTAAACTCTTAAAACTTTTTCTTAAACTTATTTTATATTTCCATAGTACTTTAAAGATATAAAATAATTAATTTGTGTTAACTTTTACTTAGTTTTAATTTTCATTGAAAACTGGGTTAAAATATATTATGTGTTTTTCTTGGTAACCATTACTAGGATTGTTTTCTATTTTTATATTTTTGTCATTGATCGCCAGTTATTAAAAGATGTCTTTCTAACTTTCCTTATATTTGCTGTTTCTGTCTAGCTATATAATTCCTCTTACTGCTAAGTGGATTAGCTAAAGACATGAAATAACATTTTAAAACAACAGCGGAACAGTATTCTGGAACAACAACAAAAAATCAGATTATGGTTGAAGACTTTCTACAAACTTCATTCAATGAGACAGCACAGGTCAAGCGGGCAGAAAGTCAGAAAATTCATAAGCCTGACATTCCATCAGGGTGCGCCTAATCAGATGTTTAGAAATAGAAGGCAGCTTATGCCATGACTAGTTGAAAGAATTCTGCAAGCTTGCATTGACATGAGGTCTTTTCAATGACTGAGATAATCAAGGAATCTGTGTAAATCAGCCTCTCTTATTGACTGTCAGGCCAGGAAAAGAGCCAACCCACCCGAAGTCAACTCTGCCATCATTTCTTAAGCCACACTGTTCCTTTCAGCTCATAGAATCTCATGAATAGAAAAAGTTAGGTTTCTAAAAAGAATTTTGAGGCTAGATATGTGGTTTAATGTTATTCTATATTACATCCTATACAATTAAAATCTACAGATGTGCCTTGTAGAGTACACTGTTTTTGCCTTTAGCCAGAGGAAGGACCAAATTTAATACCTGGCTAGGCAATTATTACACGCTGTGATTGGAAGTTTTCTCCAACCACCTGTCACAATGCTGAAATTTTATCACTAGAGATCCATTTCTTTGGAAGAGCTGTGGGTAGGCTGCAGCCAGTCTCCTCTGCAATAGAGGCTCTGATTATAGCCCTGAACACTGTTATCTGAAATAGTAAATTACCTGATGTAAATTTTAGTTGAAATTTTGACTGAGAACAAAAGGAAGCTATGTTTGAATTGGAATATAGGGCAAAGCCTCGGTCACCAATCTTGGATACAGAATTTTAATAGAAAGAGATTAAAATTTTCTCCAAATAATGTCCCACCCCCATTCTGACACTTTTAATACAAAAACAGATAGATTTATTGTCCAAAAGATACATCTCTGAGCAGTGGTGACCTTTGTTTACAATTTCTTCTGTAAATCCATTTTCGTCTTTGACTATTTAAAGTTTTCTGTTTTTCTCATTAAAATTTCTCCTTATACTTTTCACCCAGTCATAAATAAAGCTATTGGGCTTCATTCTAGGAACTGGTATTGAGCAATGAACAGGACAGCCGTAATCCTTGAACTCATTAGAGTTGATAGTCTAAAGTAAATGCAGACCATTAATGGGAGATTAAATATGTTATGGCACATACAAAGTGCAAGAAAGAACATAATGTCATGTGAGGGAATGCATAAATAGCTTAATTTAGCCATCCCGTAACATATTCATATATTAAAACATCATGTTACGTGCTCTAACTTGATAGAATTTTTACTTGTCAAATCAAAAAAATACAAAATTCAAAGAACATGCAAGAATTACCTCCCTGAACTTAGAAGGTGCCAGAGGTAGCCACTTGGAAGAGATGTCCACTACATTAAGAAGATAAATGTAAATTAGCCAATAAAAGGAAGTCAGAATTGAGATTATGCCAGTAAAAGGGAACAACATGTTTAAGGCCAAGAATCAAGAGGGCCACAGTGTAGGTTGGGAAATAAAAAATAAAATTTCTGTATAGCTAGAGCAGGGAGTAAAAGACACCAGCAGGACTTATATTATGAAGGGACTTTTAAGCCACATTAAGGATAAAGCTTTTGGCTGCGCGCAATGTCTCACGCCTATAATCCCAGCACTTAGGGAGGCCGAGGTGGGTGGATCATCTTAGGTCAGGAGTTTGAGACCAGCCTGGGCAAATTGGTGAAACCCTGTCTCTACTAAAAATACAAAAATTCGCCAGGCATGGTGGCAGGTACCTGTAATCCCAGCTACTTGAGAGGCTGAGGCAGGAGAATCACTTGAACCAGGGAGGCAGAGGTTGCAGTGAGCAGAGATTGTGCCACTGCACTCCAGTCTGGGTGACAGAGAGAGACTCCGCCTCCATCTCAAAAAAAAAAAAAAAAAAAAAAGAATAGAGCTTTTATTTGAAGGACAGTAAAGAATCACTAGAGAATTTTAGACAGGAAGCCCCAATTCGTTATTGAGAGAACACATTGCAGCTGCTTTACAGGTGGGATGTGGCAGAGTAAAATGCCAGTGAAGAAACTGATAGCATATTTGAGGTAAGATATAGTAATGATTTTAACTAGAGTAAAGACAATGGAGAGAGAGAGAAAAGATTGGAATCAAGAACTATTTAGAAGGTATAATAAATAATTAGTGATTGACTGATTAGATGCAACATGATGAAGGACATGATAGAGGAAGTAGAAATATCTAGAATTACATCTAATAAAGGGAATCATTATTTGTTTTTCGCTGAAACCGGAAAAAATACAGAGAAGGAGGAAAAGCAAGTTGGGGAGTTGAGAAGTAGGTGAGAAGAGTATATGCAAGGAGTTCATGTGTGGGAGTGTTAGCTTTTGGTGGTTGCAGAATATTCATGAGGAGATGTCCAATAGGGTGAGATAACATGCAAGTATGGAGATCAAGGGGAGATCTGGACTTGAGAGATGTAGAGTTGAGAGTTGTCAGAATGTGAGGAGGAATTGAAGTTAAGGTATGGGTAGAATGAGAAGAAAGGAAAGCCCAGGATAAAATCTTAATGGAGTCAAAATTTATGGTACAGGGAGAAGTACTGGGAAAGCCTTCCCTCTTCCTGCAGCATCACTAAACTTCCTGTTCTTTTGCCTTAGTCTAGATGCCTTTAACTGTAGTTTTACTTGGGCAAAGCTGTGTTATAGGCTGGCTTCACTGAAGAATAATGACATCACTAATATTTTTAAAGCTTAAAAAGTATAGTATTTATGTAATATCTAATATTCTATATATAATATAAAAACCAAGATCATCTTAAAACCTCAGTCATGCTCTGTGGGAAAGAAAGTTATATTGTACCTGATAATCATGCCTTTACATTGTATATTAAGGAAATGTATTTTAAATGACACATAATGAATTCCCAATAAGTTGCCTGCCCTATTTCTTACTTTTACAACTACTCTGTTAAAAGTGAACAGATCCTTGAAGGGAGACTTTCCAATCTGTGCAGCATGGTATTTATACTTGAACATTATTGAATTATCCTAATCATACTTATAGTTACAATCAAGATTAATTGCAGCTATATTAGGATTACTTATTATTTTTTCTACTTCAGCAGTAACATAAACCCAATTGTACAAACAATTTCTGTAATCCAAATTGTGAAAGAAAGTAGGGAGAAAAAAGATCATGCAAAGCTGGTTGAAATAGTATTCAAAATAAATCTTTAACCAGACTGTTATCTAAAATTCTGTTTTTGACAAGGAGCTGATTCTGAACAGATTGTACATGTATCTCACTGGTGGAAGCAGATTATCTGTCTTGAATTGGATTGTGATGACGATGACCCTATTCTAAGCAAACCAAATCTCTTGAACTATATAATGAGATCAGGAGGAACATTCGACCTGAGAAAGACAGATTGCAATGACTGAGATGATTTTGCTAATTTTTTTTCCAGCCTATTTCCTTAATGTACGTGATATTGTGATTGATTTTCATGCAGAGATCCCTGATCCTATAGTTTTGTTTGCTATTTATTTTTCTCCTTCACATTTTTTTTCTATCAACAGAGCTGAATGAGTGCCAGGAAGCTGCGAAATCTGTCTTACAAAAAGGTGATTGTGGAAGAGTCTAGAATCTTCATTTATTGTTCAGCAGGATTACAGAAAAGCTATCAAGAGTAAACATTTAACTGATACACTCTTATTCCTTCTTTTTAGGCTGTAAGGAGGCAAAAGTTGCTTGAACAGAGCATCCAGTCTGCCCAGGAGACTGAAAAATCCTTACACTTAATCCAGGAGTCCCTCACATTCATTGACAAGCAGTTGGCAGCTTATATTGCAGACAAGGTGGACGCAGCTCAAATGCCTCAGGAAGCCCAGGCAAGTACATCTGGGAATCAGCTTCCATTCTTTTGTTTTTATTACTTCAACAAAATGTTGCAGTGTTTCTAACTTTAAATTTATTCAACTAGTTTTCCATGGGGTTGTTTTGATTCACTGATTTGACTATTTGGAGGTAGGTAGGAAGAAAAGGGGGTCTAGATCATTAGTCTAAGATTTATTTTTTTAAGGATGTAATGGAGGAATTTGAAATAAAGACATTTCAAAGACAGGAGCAATACGTTCTGGTGTTTCTGACTTCAAACTATACTAAAAGCTAGAGTAAAACCATAGGATAGTAAATGGTAAAGAAAATGTTTTTTGGCCGGGTGTGGTGGCTCACACCTGTAATCCCAGCCCTTTGGGATGCTGAGGCCCACGAATCACAATGTCAGGAGTTCAAGACCAGCCTGGCCAACATGGTGAAACCCTGTCTCTACTAAAAATACAAAAATTAGCCAGGTTTGTTGGCACGCGCCTGTAATCCCAGCTACTCGGGAGGCTGAGGCAGGAGAATCACTTGAACACGGGAGGCGGAGGTTGCAGTGAGCCGAGATTGCACCACTGTACTCCAGCCTGGAACAGAGCGAGACTCTATCTTATAAAAAGAAAAAAAGAAAATATTTTCTATGGCATTGTTGGAAAGCAGTCTCAAACATTTTATTATAAACTCCTCGTTTAGTCACATGGTCTATATTGTTTTATAAAAATGTGTTAGTTACAAGCAGTGAGTAACACAAAATTATCGATATAAATTTACACCTCAATTATTAATGATCATGCTCAATATAGCTACATGCACTCACTCCCATGCTTCATTCAAACGAAAATATAAAACGTGTTTACCTGTTTTTCTAGAATGAGAATTAAAATAGTGTTGAAAATAAATCTGAGTTGACTTTTAAATGAGTAAATTTTAGGCCATAACTAAATTTACATTCACTGTAAGAAGTATTTTTAAAATGCTGTTCTCATTTTTTAATTAACATTTAAACATATGTGAAGTTATCATAGGTATTATTTATTCAAAAGTCTTTAGGGTTGTGTGATCGCAATTACTAGATCTGCTTTTCAAATCTTATATACATGTTGTGAACCCAATCACCAAGTCCATGCTATGATGAGAGGAGCACTAGAAGGTTAGCTGCAAATCTCAAAGCCTTCTCCCTGCCAGTTGGTGAAGATGTCTGAAGTTTTTCACTTTAAAATGAATTTGGGGGTGATATATTAGATTTGTAGATCATGGTTACAATGCAATTACAGTTAATGAATCACCGTTAATAGGTGTTCTGGGCAACAGTATACACAATAGCATGAGTTAATTTACCATATTGTCTAACTTTGACCAAGAATGTCCCTGATAATATGTGGCAGAGTATAGGTAGTTTTGATAGGCTTAAAAAGTCCAGGGAATATTATTTCCTTATGGAGTGCATACAATTGCAATAGTGGATGAAGAAAGAGAATTTTGGGGAGAATCCTGATGATAAAATCCTCATCATAGTTTTCCACTGGGCAACAAGAGTAAATATTGTAGTAGAAGTGAGGGATAATAGTAAACATACTTGAGGATTCAATTTTTAATTTGTCTTGATATATAATGATTGTACATATTTTAGAGGGTAAGTGTGATAGGTTTATACAAACCTACTCCAGTATATATATTTTTCAAACTTACACAAGCCAGGTTCTCTAGAATTAACTATTCCTAAGTCCGTCCCAGTTTGAGTCATAATGAAAAAGGTTTTTTGATATAAAATATTTATACATATTTATGGATACAACATTTATGTAATATTTTCTTACATGTATAGAAAGTGTAATGATCAAGTCAGGGTATTTAGTGTGTCTACCACGGCAGGGTTTAGTAAAATGCATGATAGGAATGAGTAATTGTTTCTGAATTGAGAAGAACTACATGACTATAAATGAAATACAGAGTAGAACTGCTTTCATTTAAACTAATGACATGAGTTTTGAAGGAATGTTTGATTAAAAATGCTTGTGACGTTCTGAATGGAATTAAGGAAAAATTTGAGCAGTATGAATACTAGACATTAATATTGCAAGTTTGTACTTCAAAATGCATAAAGAATTACTTTGTGACAGACTTGCGGAATGAAATTATGAGTAGCAAATTTGATAGGCAAAGCTATTATACTATTGTCTTTCAAGGAAAATTGGAGCTTTTAGGGCGAAGCATCTTTAGTTGAACAGGTTGTGATAAGGGGCACTGTGTGTTTTTTCTTATTTAGAAATGGATTCAGGATTTTATAAACATTACTTGTTTTTAATAGCAAAATATTTTGCTTGGTTTTTCTAAAAAAATACTACAATAAAAATGTTATTAACTACATCAGTAGAAAAGTACTAGTAAACAGCAGAACACAGATAAATTATGAAATTTCAGATCTACTTCAAGAAAGAGATTTTGGGCATTCAGATCAAATCTATTTTCCATGCATTTCAGGTCACACCTGCATTATCAACATAGTTCTTGACATTGAGTCTCCCCAATGGTAATACATAATATTGGAGAATACAAGCCATCTGAAAGCTCTTAAAACATTCTTCTGCTCCAGGGTTTTATTTTAATATGGCAGTAAGTGAATTGTTTTCTAGAACAGAGTTCTCAGGTACTCAGATTTGCTTCAAGGATTATATTTCCTGAAAAGCAGCTCGAAATTCCCATGAAATAAAATAGAGAGTCAAAAGTTAGATAGTGAAATAACATAAGCACAGTGTGTAAGATGAAGGATCCACTAAGAATGCCACCAAAATGACATTTTAAATATAGAGATGGGGTGGATAGATGGATGGATGTATGGATTGATGGATGGATAGATAGATAGATAGATAGATAGATAGATAGATAGATAGATAGATGAAAGAAAGAAAAGAAAGGAATAGAATAGGGACTAACTTCAATGCATTGTATTAACAAAAATGTGTTTCTATAAATTTGCACTTAAAGATAAAAAGGTTATTGCTAATTAAAATATTAGTGCACTATAATTTCTTTTCTCATAAATGGTATATTTAGCTTAATTCATCACGGAGAAGCAGGAAAAAATGTATGAAGTTACCATATTAAGTCCTCTTTGAAATACCTGCTCAGATTTTCTGTCATATACTGGTCACGCAGATTTGTGGGTGTCTGACTCCACCGTGTGGTGCACTGAGAGTTTTGCTAGTTAATTTGAATCTTTTAGAGCATTATTTTTTCTGCATTTTAAGATCGTTTGAGATCCTCAGATATAAAAGCTATGGCACTAAGGAAATGCATACTGTATGTACAACTTTCTGACAACCATACTCTTGTTATATATAAAAGTAGATGTAGATCAGGATGCTTCTTTACATTCACATTGGCATTTATTACTATAGGAAAGAAAAGAGCTGCTCACTTCCTTAGTGTGTTAATTGATCAGTTATTTCTCTGGGCCCTCAGATTCTGAATTGGATTTAAAATTATGTTACTTATTTTAGTGACATGAGCTTACCTACAGAAGCAAAGCTTACACTTTTAGAAAATAAAGCTGCATGCTGCCAGGATGTAACAGCATGTGTTGACCTAGGAGTATTTTATTTCAAAAGATAACACTTAGCCAATTCACAGTCTTTTTTTTTAATACTTTAAGTTTTAGGGTACATGTGCACAACGTGCAGGTTAGTTGCATATGTATACATGTGCCATGTTGGTGTGCTACACCCATTAACTCGTCATTTAACATTAGGTATATCTCCTAATGCTATCCCTCCCCCCTCCCCCCACCCCACAACATTCCCTGGTGTGTGATGTTCCCCTTCCTGTGTCCATGTGTTCTCATTGTTCAATTCCCACCTATGAGTGAGAACATGCGGTGTTTGGTTTTTTGTCCTTGCGATAGTTTGCTGAGAATGATGGTTTCCAGCTTCATCCATGTCCCTACAAAGGACATGAACTCATCCTTTTTTATGGCTGCATAGTATTCCAAGGTGTATATGTGCCACATTTTCTAAATCCATTGTATCATTGTGAGACATTTGGGTTGGTTCCAAGTCTTTGCTATTGAGAATAGTGCCGCAATAAACATACGTGTGCATGTGTCTTTATAGCAGCATGATTTATAATCCTTTGGGTATATACCCAGTAACGGGATGGCTGGGTCAAATGGTATTTCTAGTTCTAGATCCCTGAGGAATCGCCACAGTGACTTCCACAATGGTTGAACTAGTTTACAGTCCCACCAACAGTGTAAAAGTGTTCCTATTTCTCCACATCCTCTCCAGCACCTGTTGTTTCCTGACTTTTTAATGATCGCCATTCTAACTGGTGTGAGATGGTATCTCGTTGTTTTGATTTGCATTTCTCTGATGGCCAGTGATGATGAGCATTTTTTTATGTGTCTTTTGGCTGCATAAATGTCTTCTTTTGAGAAGTGTCTGTTCATATCCTTCACCCACTTGTTGATGGGGTTGTTTGCTTTTTTCTTGTACATTTGTTTGAGTTCATTGTAGATTCTGGATATTAGCCCTTTGTCAGAGGAGTAGGTTGCGAAAATCTTCTCCCATTCTGTAGGTTGCCTGTTCACTCTGATGGTAGTTTCTTTTGCTGTGCAGAAGCTCTTTAGTTTAATTAGATCCCATTTGTCAATTTTGGCTTTTGTTGCCATTGCTTTTGTTGTTTTCGTCATGAAGTCCTTGCCCGTGCCTATGTCCTGAATGGTAATGCCTAGGTTTTCTTCTAGGGTTTTTATGGTTTTAAGTCTAACATGTAAGTCTTTAATCCATCTTGAGTTAATTTTTGTATAAGGTGTAAGGAAGGGATCCAGTTTCAGCTTTCTACATATGGCTAGCCAGTTTTCCCAGCACCATTTATTAAATAGGGAATCGTTTCCCCATTTCTTGTTTTTGTGAGGTTTGTCAAAGATCAGATAGTTGTAGATATGTGGCATTATTTATGAGGGCTTTGTTCTGTTCCATTGATCTATATCTCTGTTTTGGTACCAGTACCATGCTGTTTTGGTTACTGTAGCCTTGTAATATACAGAAAAAGAGAATTTTAGACCAATATCCCTGATGAACATCGATGCAAAAATCCTCAATAAAATACTGGCAAACCGAATCCAGCAGCACATCAAAAAGCTTATGCACCATGACCAAGTGGGCTTCATCCCTGGGATGCAAGGCTGGTTCAATATATGCAAATCAATAAACGTAATCCAGCATATAAACAGAACCAATCACAAATACCACATGATTATCTCAATAGATCCAGAAAAGGCCTTTGACAATATTCAACTACCCCTCATGCTAAAAATTCTCAATAAATTAGGTATTGATGGGACAAATCTCAAAATAATAAGAGCTATCTATGATGAACCCACAGCCAATATCATACTGAATGGGCAAAAACTGGAAGCATTCCCTTTGAAAACTGGCACAAGACAGGGGTGCCCTCTCTCACTGCTCCTATTCAACATACTGTTGGAAGTTCTGGCCAGGGCAATTAGGCAGGAGAAGGAAATAAAGGGTATTCAATCAGGAAAAGAGGAAGTCAAATTGTTCCTGTTTGCAGATGACATGATTGTATATCTAGAAAACCCCATTGTCTCAGCCCAAAATCTCCTTAAGCTGATAAGCAACTTCAGCAAAGTCTCAGCATGCAAAATCAATGTGCAAAAATCACAAGCATTCTTATACACCAATAACAGACAAACAGAGAGCCAAATCATGAGTGAACTCCCATTCGCAATTGCTTCAAAGAGAATAAAATACCTAGGAATCCAACTTACAAGGGATGTGAAGGACCTCTTCAAGGAGAACTACAAACCACTGCTCAATGAAATAAAAGAGGATACAAACAAATGGAAGAACATTCCATGCTCATGGGTAGGAAGTGTCAATATCGTGAAAATGGCCATACTGCCCAAGGTAATTTATAGATTCAATGCCATCCCCATCAAGCTACCAATGCCTTTCTTCAGAGAATTGGAAAAAACTACTTTAAAGTTCATATGGAACCATAAAGGAGCCTGCATCGCCAAGTCAATCCTAAGCCAAAAGAATAAAGCTGGAGTCATCATGCTACCTGACTTCAAAGTATACTACAAGGCTACAGTAACCAAAACAGCATGGTACTGGTACCACAGTCTTAAATTAAATTATATGGCCACAGCATCAATCTACCCAGTGTCAGCTCATTTAATGAGAGATTTTATTAAAGTACAAAATTAAGAAAAGATTTATTGAAACAGAATAAAGCAAATGGGGAAAACTCTTCTAGATATGGAAATATATCTTAGAAAACAGAAACTAGGATTATTTCCAAAGTACTATGATTAAAAATGTAACAACCTATGCGTGTTCCTTGGAAATAAATAAAAAATTAAATCACGAAATTGTGTGACTGCAAAGAAACACATGGAACAAATTTAGTCATTTACTGTTCAATTTTTCAGAACTATATATTGAAGCACAGAGTTTAGTTTTGGCACCTAAAATCCTATAGCAACAGTCTAAGTAACCATGCTGAGCCCCGGAGCAATCAAATCAAATCTTTAGGTGGATTTGGTCTTCAGAATTTTTGGAAACTTTTTTATTCATTCTAATGTGTAGCTAATTGGAGAATGGCTTTGGATGGTTCCCTACTAGTAATGACTAAATTGTTCCAGAGTATTTTTCATACGACATTTTCTATCACTCTTCTATAAAGATTCTCTTCTATGACTGTGTCAACGTTTCAATGGGAGGGAGTCAGAGTGGCAATCAAACTACTGGTGAGATTCTCTCCTATTTTGATTTTTTCCTCTAATGGAAAATGGGTGATGGAAGAAAATATAGCTGAGAGCTATCGCACAAATTTTAATTTAGACAAAAAGAATGTTCAATATAGATGTTTGAGGCTGAACTCTGCTTGGCTTTCTTCAATTCATTTTTTTCTAACCCCATTTGTTAACATGTCAATTAACTTGCATATGGCTCTTAATCATTTTAGGGGACAGTGACAACTATGTTTAAATAGCTACTTAAATGTCTTGCAATTTTTAAAATTACAAAGATACTTTCACATACATGATTTTTTTCCTTTTCTACTAATTTTAGTTTTGAATCTTTGATATGTAAGAACAACCCAACATGGGCACCTGTTGAAAGTCACCATGTCCTTATGTGTTGATGCACATTTTGTAGGGGAAAACATGGCCCTGTTGCTTAAATTACTGCAAGCAAGAGCGGAGTTGCTTAGCAGTGGCTCCAGTAGCTTTACTGTTCTATTTGTTTTTTCCCAAAGAATTCTGATCTCATTTTTTTGTAACCTCGTGTCCCACATAGTAGATTTATGAGCAGGAATAGAGGAAGGAAACAAATTACCTTCAAAGAAGAGTGCCTCATAATTAAATATTGAAAAATACTGCCGTGGTTTGCTCACCAAGCTAGGACGTCAGGTGTTCCAGAGTCCACTACAGACCAGACTTCCTCCTTCTCTTTTTCCCTCCCATTAACAATGTGAGTACAATTTAGAAAAGAGGGGATTTTTAAAGCAAAGAAAGCTATTAATTTAAACTAATTACGTTAAATGCACTTTAAGAAGAATTCGTAATTGCAATCTTCCCGTGTTTATCAAAGAAGCTAAATCTTATAACTCACATTAAATATAATCGGTCATCTTTAAATGTTAACATTCCAAGCTATCAAAATCAATGGCTTAAAAATAAAGATATAACTGCAGATTTTGGTCTATCAGATTGAGCTTTTGATTTCATTAAGGAATAAAACAGACTCTTATAGTGTAAATAGGCATATTTGATTGCCAAACGACTTGGAACAGTGTAACTTTACAGTCTGCTTTATTGATTTATGAGTTAGACAGCAGAAACCTGCAAAGGGGAATTTATGTGGTAATTGGATAATTTAGTCAAAGAAGAAAAAAATGGAGAACTAACCCAGAGATTTGGGTTCAAATATTAAAACCTATCTAGCCATAGATGTAGACTTTTTATTTTCTTTTTACACAGCCCAGTAGATGGTAAACCTAGTGCATTTAATTTTGAATCTGTTCTAACATTGAAAGGCCACCCCTATGTGTTGCTATACAGAACTTATTACTCTCCATTTAAGAATAACTTGTTAGTTTCATATGTTTAATAGTGTGGGAAACAGTCATAAACACAAGTTGTAGGAAATGTAAAATACTAGAAACTTGCCACACGTCACTGACTGTACTTGGACAACCTGTACATTATTATGTCCTCACTGGCTATATGATAAAGATATAGATTTCTTTCATATTATTTTGATGTGTACATTTTAAGACTGCAATTAAACTATAGTATGCTTTTGTAAAAATCTATCTACAAATTCTACATATAAGGATGAAATTATTAAAATTAATGGCAAAAACTGCAATTACTTTTGCACCAGTCTAATAACTTCACGCTACAGCCACAGTGAACACTATTGCAACACTCTGAATATTTTGAAGTGATCCAAATTTATCCTATTATTTCCCAATTTTGTCTTATGCAAATGAATATTTACTTCAAAGATAGCACACAGAAAATTTATCGATCTAAAATGCACAGCCAGATAACACTTAGCATAACATACTATGTTTTATTTTTCTTTCAGCGTTTATCGTGATTGTTAAATCTTTTATTTGCTTTTTAAAAATTTTCCCCGTCTATTCCCATTCTCTAACCACTAAAGTTCAGCTGTAAGACCGTGGGCCACCCAGCAGATTTCTAACAAATAGCTGGCAAATTTATTGAATTCCACTGAGGTTTAGTCACTAAGTATGTGTCAGACAAATGTGATAGGCAGTGTAAAATTTAAAATGTGAATAAGCCTAACGTGGTCCTTGCCATCTTGCCACTCATTAGATAGCACCAAAGAAAGATAAAATTTAGAAATTGCTGGCCACTTACGTTTACCATAATAGTGAAGAACCATTTTTCCAATGGAACTTAATAGTATCATAAAGACTTCTTGTCATAATGCCTTATGATTGCCCAACTTTGAAGCTCTGAAAACCTTTCCAAAATACTTTGAATAGTATAAAATGGAACTCTTCACATGAAAAGGAAAGACTGATGGAAAATATATATTTTAGCCTCTTTATGTATTACCTAGTTTTTAAGGATTATACCATGTGAATATCTAATATTTTGAAAGCATTCACGTTATTTGGTAATTACAGCAGCCTAATGAAGTATAAAAGTTGTGTTTAAAAGGGAATATTTGAAAACACTAGATGAATGGTTGAGGCATGGGTTGAGAACAGGATGTGAATGAAAATGGACACACAGGTTTAGGGGTTAATAAAAAATGTCCTAAAGTTGGATTGTGGTGATATATACATGACTCTATAAATTTCCTATTGTTCATTGACTATATGTTTAAAATGAAAATTTTATGGTATGTAAATTGTACCTCAAAGTTGTTTTTAAAACCCTATTGAATAGAGAATATATCAATTACTATTATATATTTAAAAAGATAATTTAAGGTTACCATCAACTTTTTCACTCCATTATTTTGATGCATAGCAAAGGGTGAAATGTGATGAATGTTGTTAAATAACCTGGAATTAACTTAAATGGTAGATATTTATTGATGGCCTACTGATGTCCGCAAGATCTTACATAGTAATATCATAATGTTCCCATTGTTTACATTCTATTCCATTTAATGAATTTTAATGCTAAAGCATTTTTACTGAAGCTGATATTTTAACTCAGATCTGCTTTCTCCACTTTAATAATTAGCCCTTTATTAAGTGAAAATTAACCTAGAAGTACAATCTCCCAATTATTTCTAGGCAGCATTCCAAAATGTTCCCTAGAGTTTGATTTACTCATTTATCTATTTTGAAAAGTAACCATAATTACTTGAAAATACGTTATTTCTATTTTCAATGTTTGTAGGCACGTAGTAGATGTATAAACGTTACATGAGATATTTTGATACAGGCATGCAATGCGTAGCAATCAAATCAGGGTAAATGGGGTGTCTATCACCTTAAGCATCTATCCTTTGTGATATAAAAAATTCAGTTGTACTCTTTTAGTTTATTTTAAAATGTAGACTCAAATTACTTTTTTATTATGGTCATCCTGTTCTAGCAAATACTAGGTCTTGCTCATTATTTCTAATTTTTGTACCCATTAACCATCCCCACTTCCTCCCCAACCCCTGACTACCCTTCCCAGCCTCTAGTAAGGATCCTTCTACTCTCTATCTCCATAGTTCAATTATCTTAATTTTTAGCTCCCACAAATAACTGAGAACATGGGATGTTTGTCTTTCTGTGACTGGCTTATTTCACTTAACGTAATAACGTACAATTCCATCCATGTTATTGCAAATGACAGGACGTCATTCTTTTTATGGCTGAATAGTACTGTATTGTGTATAGGTACCATATTTTCTTTTTTTTATTATTATACTTTAAGTTTTAGGGTACATGTGCACATTGTGCAGGTTAGTCACATATGTATACATGTGCCATGCTGGTGCGCTGCACCCACTAACTCGTCATCTAGCATTAGGTATATCTCCCAATGCTATCCCTCCCCCCTCCCCCCACCCCACAACAGTCCCCGGTGTGTGATGTTCCCCTTCCTGTGTCCATGTGCTCTCATTGTTCAATTCCCACCTATGAGTGAGAACATGCAGTGTTTGGTTTTTTGTCCTTGAGATAGTTTGCTGAGAATGGTGGTTTCCAGCTTCATCCATGTCCCTACAAAGGACATGAACTCATCCTTTTTTATGGCTGCATAGTATTCCAAGGTGTATATGTGCCACATTTTCTAAATCCATTGTATCATTGTGAGACATTTGGGTTGGTTCCAAGTCTTTGCTATTGTGAATAGTGCCGCAATAAACATACGTGTGCATGTGTCTTTATAGCAGCATGATTTATAGTCCTTTGGGTATATACCCAGTAATGGGATGGCTGGGTCAAATGGTATTTCTAGTTCTAGATCCCTGAGGAATCGCCACACTGACTTCCACAATGGTTGAACCAGTTTACAGTCCCACCAACAGTGTAAAAGTGTTCCTATTTCTCCACATCCTCTCCAGCACCTGTTGTTTCCTGACTTTTGAATGATTGCCATTCTAACTGGTGTGAGATGGTATCTCATTGTGGTTTTGATTTGCATTTCTCTGATGGCCAGTGATGATGAGCATTTTTTCATGTGTTTTTTGGCTGCAGAGGTACAAGGAGGAACTGATACCATTCCTTCTGAAACTATTCCAATCCATAGAAAAAGAGGGAATCCTCCCTAACTCATTTTATGAGGCCAGCATCATTCTGATACCAAAGCCGGGCAGAGACACAACCAAAAAAGAGAATTTTAGACCATTATCCTTGATGAACATTGATGAAAAAATCCTCAATAAAATACTTGCAAAACGAATCCAGCAGCACATCAAAAAGCTTATCCACCATGATCAAGTGGGCTTCATCCTTGGGATGCAAGGCTGGTTCAATATATGCAAATCAATAAATGTAATCCAGCATCTAAACAGAGCCAAAGACAAAAACCACATGATTATCTCAATAGATGCAGAAAAAGCCTTTGACAAAATTCAACAACGCTTCATGCTAAAAATTCTCAATAAATTAGGTATTGATGGGACGTATTTCAAAATAATAAGAGCTATCTATGACAAACCCACAGCCAATATCATACTGAATGGGCAAAAACCGGAAGCATTCCCTTTGAAAACTGGCACAAGACAGGGATGCCCTCTCTCACCACTCCTATTCAACATAGTGTTGGAAGTTCTGGCCAGGGCAATTAGGCAGGAGAAGGAAATAAAGGGTGTTCAATCAGGAAAAGAGGAAGTCAAATTGTCCCTGTTTGCAGATGACATGATTGTATATCTAGAAAACCATATTTTCTTTATCCATTCGTTTTTTAATGGACATTTAGGTTGCTTCCAAATCTTGACTTTTGTGAACAGTGCCGCAATAAAACACGGGAGTACAGATATTTCTTCAGTGTACTGATTTTCTTTCTTTTGGGTATATACACAGCAGTGGGATTGCTGGATTGTATGGTAGCTCTGTTTACAGTTTTTTGAGGAATCTCAAAACTTGTTTTCCATAGTGGTTGTACTAGTTTACATTCCTACCAGCAGTGTATGAGGGTTCCCTTTTCTCCATATCCTCGCCAACATTTGTTATTGCTTGTTTTATAAATAAAACCATTTGAGTTGAAGTGAGATTATATCTCACTGTGGTTTTGATTTACTATTCTGTTATGATCAGTGATATTGAGACCCTTTTCATATACCCGTTTGTCATTTATCTTCTTTCAAAAAAAAGTCTATTCAGATATTTTGCCCATTTTTAATCAGATTATTAGTTTTTTCCTATAGAGTTGTTTGAGCTCTTTATATATTCTAGTTATTGATCCCTTGTCAGATGGGTAGTTTGGAAATATTTTCTCCCATTCCATGGGTTGTCTCTTCACTTTGTGGGTTGTATGCTTTGTTGTGAAGAAGATTTTTAACTTGGTGTGTTACCATTTGTCCATTTTTGCTTTGGTTGCCTGTGCTTGTGTGGTATGGTTCAAGAATTTCTTGCCTAGACCAATGTTCTGGAGGTTTCTCCCAAAGTTTTCTTGTGGTAGTTTCATAATTTGAGGTCTTAGATTTAAGTATTTAATCCATTTTGATTTGATTTCTGTATACGGTTCAAGATAGAGGTCTGGTTTTATTCTGCATTTGGATATCCAATTTTCCCAGCACCATTTATTGAAGGACTCCTTTCCCCAAAGTGTGTTCTTGGCACTTTGTCAAAAATTAGGTCCCTGTAGATGTATGGATTTATCTCTGTGTTCTCTATTCTGTTCTATTGGGCTGTGTGTTTGCGCTTAAGCCAGTACCATGCTGTTTCGGTTACTATAGCTGTGTAGTATAATTTAAAGTTAGGTAAAGTGATTCCTCCAGTTTCATTCTTTTTTGCTTAGGATATATTTGGCTATTCTGGGTCTGCTGCAGTTCCATATAAATTTTAAGATTGTTTTTTCTATTTCTGTGAAGAATGTCTTTGTTAGAAAATACATTATTATAATGAACTCTTCTATTATCGTTGTCGTTATTATGACTAAGCGTAACATCGTTTCTCAGGTATATTACAAGTAATAATTATACACAATGTCCAATTTTTTATTTTTAAACGGTTCTGTGGTCAAGATTACGCAGAAAAATTTATATGCTTTACTTCTCTGCTGGAGATTTTTGACCCACTTTTTTGTATTTTCAAAAATAAAAGTTTAACCTAAATTTGATAAGAAGCCACAGACACTTTTTCCTCCAGAAATATGTTGATATACCACAAAACTCATATGTCAAGGAACAATGTAGGGGAGACACTGAAATAGACTGTTTCCTTTGGCCTATTGCATATTTCTGATAAAAGTCAAAACTTCTTTAGCTGACAAAATTTAATTTAAAGGTAATATTTTTCTAAGTAACTCTACTTGGGGGGGGGGGTTTAAAAAAAGAGTAGTACAAAGCTGTGTGAATTTCTTCTTTTTTTACTTGTTGAATTATTATAAAGTATAACCTGAAACTTTTCAACATTTTTTTTCTATGAAAATAATTATATTTCTTGCATTTTCCTATCTTTGGAAAGTACATATCATCCCAAATCTTTTGATATATTTTGTTTCTTTCGTTTTCTAAGTACGTGTGATATGTGGCCATTTCCCTTTCTTGAAAATAGCAATTTCAAAATTACTGGCTCTTTCAAAATTACTAATCTAACAGTGGTACGTTCCTCCATCAATCAGTAGTCTCAACATGAAGTATTTTAATATCTTTTACTAAAATATTTTCTTATTTTCTCTAAATTTTTCCTTTCTTTGACACCACAGAAACTCCAATAATTATTTGATATCATTTTCTTCATTCTGTTAAGTACTTTAGCCTGCTGCAGTATAATTTTGCTGGCCATTTTCTGTTACTATATATATGAGAATGGTTTGATGAGGTAAAGCAAGATTTTAAAAACAGCCCTGCTCTCTGCTCAGTTAACTGTAAAGTCCTATATTTAAAATGTGATTAATGTTTGAATGATTTTTTGGTTCTATAATTTTGCCCTTTACCATATTCAATGGAAAAATGGTTAATTCGATTTCACTTGTTTTATTTTCCTACTTTGAATATATAGTGCTGTGAACATAGTTACTGCATGCTCAAATGCCTTTTTTATAATGGAATGTTGAGATAAGCTCAAATGTCTTTTTTAATATAATGGAAAGATGATATAATTTGCTTTATATTACTTGACTTTGATGAAGAAAATCTAGTGATTCTGAAAGGTACTGGATTGAGAACACCTCATAGAGCATATGTGAGTGTTCACATCAGTATCCGTGATTTGCTATGTCCTCTCACTTTGTTTCCATTAGAGTTTACTGATTTTATACGAAGCCAGGCTGATAATTTCACAAGAATAGTTGTATGTGGTTGGCTTATTTGTTTTCTTCAAATGCTTACTATCCATATCCCCCTAGATGTATATATTAGGTGAAAATATAACTCAAATTATACATCCCTCACATCTTTAGGACAACTTAGAAATCTAGTAGACAAGTAGAGAGATCATTTTCCTTCAGATTGAATCTTCTATCCCCAATGTTTTCTTCCACAATTTTATTTTCTTTCATCATATTCTCATAATGTCAAAAAAGAAAATGATTACATTGTCTTTTTTTATGAGTGATTTTTACATAGGAGATTGTTCTTCCCAGAAGTTTCAATAATATTCTGTTATTTGTACAAGTTACTTTTCTATTTCACAATAAGCCTGCGCTAAAGTGCTAAGCATTTTTTACTTATGTGGTTCCAGAATACAGTTCTGACGAGGTTAGGTAAAGTAGCTGGTAAAAGATATCCTAAGTACAAGCTAAAAGTTAATTACAATTTAAATGTAAATTTTGTGGAATTAATGTGTAAAGATGCTGGCAAATATGTGTCATGCATGTTTTACAGCTTACCCATAGTAGAATCAATTGGAAATATAAAGACATTTTATTTTATAATTTTAGTAATGAATTGAATTATTATTAATGAATATGTTAAGTATATTTGATAGCCTTTTTCCAAATCTACTTGTATGATGCACTCTGGCAAAAAAAAGCAAAAGGATAACATCTACAAAGTGTTGTATGATTCTTGGATATACACAATATATATTAATAAATATTCTGAGAAGTTCTGTGGTATAGACACATGTTCATCTTCAATTTCCAAAATATGTTTAACCACTGAGTTCTTTTTAATGCATAATCTACTCAATGCATAAAGAAAATTTTATCTCTAATCATATTGGAACAGTACTACAAATATGCGAATTTCACTAGAAATGCCTATACATTATGATAAAAGTCTCACTTTTATATGATGTTCAATGATGATTTTTTTCAATGTTAATAATTTTAGTGGTGGCGACCTTTCTAAAAACACAGAAGCTCATCCTCAACAGTTTTTCTAACTATTTAATGGAAATATGTATATTTCAAATTCCATGGAATGCTTTGCCTTGAGCTCCAAATTGCCCAACATTCCTCTCACAGGTTACTTGGTCCTTCATGTCCCCTGCCAACAGATAAAAGTCGAGTGTTTGGTTATATGTAAGCTGTTGTTGTTCCTATTATTTATGACTTATGACAACAATATGACTCATTTGGGAAAATGTGGAACTTATCAGGAAGGCCTGTGTTGCAGTGATCACTTACGCTATCTTTGCTTTGCTTTGTAATGCTGAGCTTCTAGAATTTCCAGGGGCAGTCTTTGAAAAAAAAAATTATAAATAGAAAATTAAATGCTGGTTTATAGAAGGGTCTCTTGCAAGTGAGAGGCACTGAAACTTAAGGTTCTGTAGCTTCATACTAATTCCTCATCTAGATAGTAATTCTTACTAACTCACATTCAGTCTTTCCTCCCATTAAATTAAGCACACACACTCTGCATGCCCCAAGCCTAATCTTTGCTAGCTTGTTTCCTACAGCCTAAAATAAGATCCTATATTCTTATTCTCTGACCCTCCAAAACCCTTTCTCAGCCATATGCTAGTTAAATCATGTAAATTTCCTAAAAATCACCAGATTATACAGCAGATATTAATATTTATCTTTCTGATCACAGAGCATGGGTTTTTCTGTTTTTAAAATTTTTTTAAATTATACTTTAAGTTCTAGGGTACGTGTGCACAACATGCAGGTTTGTTACGTATGTATCCATGTGACATGTTGGTGTGCTGCACCCATTAACTTGTCAGTTACATTAGGTATATCTCCTAATGCTATCCCTCCCCCCTCCCCCCACCCCACGACAGGCCCTGGTGTGTGATGTTAGTTTTTCTATTACATTGCATATATTTCTGCTTTGTAATTTACTTATATATCTACAGTCTGCCTCTTAAAATAAGGCTTCTGTAAGTATAGGGGCAACAATTTTGTTCTCACTGTGTGGAATTGAGTAGTAGAAGCTGAACGATTTGTTGAATTAAATTGACTAAATGCTATCAACATACGAATAAGATTAAATTTCTTTTTTTCTCACAAATGTCCATTTGGAGGATACTTTTATTTTAAAATCATAATTAAAGAGGCAGTATAATTGTTAGAGGGCAGCAAGTTTGTTACTTCCTAGTTATGTTACCTTGGGCATGTTGATGTTTCTACCTTCATTTGTACATGAAGATGATAAATACTTATGTTAATATGATTAGGAGATGGAATTAATTATATAAAGTGTTAGCACATAAGTTCCCACAAATATCTGTGGTGGTGAGGATACTGATGATGATTTCTTTTCTTTTTTTTTTTTTTTTTGTTTTTTTGTTTTTTGCTCTTCTTTGACCACTCTGGTATAAAAGGTTAAAGGACTATGTGTATACTTCATTTTTTCCTCTACTAACCTTGGAGGCTAAGGGGATGGAAAAACTTTTAAATACATGTACACAGATATGATTACAGATGTATAATTTGGGCCCTCTACCCTCTCTGAGTGTATTCTTATTTTTTTAAATCAGTTTCCTTTCACAGTCTCCACAATTGCTATTGAACTTTTATCACTTTGATTTAAATTCCACCTTGATTCTCTCCTCTCATCCTCAGCAGATACCTAGGGTTTTGTGCTTACGAGGAAATGACATGTTATATCGCTGATAACTTATAACTAAATATTTGTGCAAATAACATGGACAGGTATTTTTACATATACTGTCACATCTGATCTTTTTGACCAAAACCAATGTAGTTGACTACTGAAGAAATGAGAATTTCTCAGATAAGAAAACTTCATTGCTGGCTTGCTATTATCATTCTTGGGCTAGACATGAGAAAATCAAGGTTCAGAACATGTTGATGCTTTGCCCAAGGTGGCAAGAGAGAGCCCTGAAATTTAAATCCTGGTTACTGTTAACATGATTTCACCCTGATACTCTGAGAGCACCATGTAGGAAGCATTCAACTTCTTGCGTCTTCACATCTTACTTTTGTTTTCTGAAAAAGAGCCACCTCTCCTCCTGTTGATATTTTCCGTTGGCCCTGAGCTTTGTGCTTCACTCTGGTTTTCTTGCTTTAAACAGGTTTTTTTAAAATCAAGTTTATCTTCTTACATTTAAAAAAAATCACTTTATGTGTTGGCTTCTTTCATGTAGCCTTAAAGTATGTTCAAGTCTGATTGACCTGAATTTTATTATGTGTGGAGACAAAAGTCTGCAAAAGTAATTTAAACTATTTTTATTAGAGTGCTCCTTGATCCTTAATCAGGCCAGCCCTTGAAAATACGATTTCTGCTCTCGTCATCCACTTCTCTCTTCTAGCTGCAATGGTCATTGACGAGCTCATGTACCCTGATTACTATTGATCCCATTGAACCTATCTCAAACTGTCACTGTTGACCTCTCTCTCTCATTCTTAAAATTCTCACATCAATTGATGTGAGATTTTCTCTCTTTTCTAGTTCTTCTTTTCTTTCTCTTTGACTGTTCTTTCTCTTTATTTGGTGCTTTTCTTTCCATGTCAGTTAAATTTGTGTTCTCCATGGTTCTCTCTTTGTTCTCTCTTTCTGCTTTCCTCTAACGCTTGAAAACACTGAAAAAATACATATTATACAAATGTACCCTGTTTCCCTCTTTCTCTCTGTACAGACACACATAGTGATTATTAAAATGCAAACTCACTTCAACATACTGCTGATTTACAGTCGCATTTCCTCCCTATGAATTTCCTTAGTTATCGGATCAAATATTAGCAATAAAACTACTGTTATCTGTGATTATGATCAATTTCAAATTTTGAAATTTATCTTCGTGATCAAAATAGTGGTAACCATTCATTTGGGACATAAAGTTATTTAATACCTGATTTCTACCTACATTTCTTGTTAAATTTTGCCAAACTCCTTATGCTCTTCAGTGCCCTGTCTCCACACCTTGTCTCTCTTCAACCAGAAATGCTTTTGTTTTTACAACTCCTATATCCTTGCGTATCCAGTATGCATATACAGTATTTAGGACTCTCATTTAGAAGTAACAAAATTGAAGTAACTAAAGCAAAACAAATGAGAGAGAAAGGTTTTTCATATGGAAACAGGAATGTGTCATAGAATCCAAGGGCAGTAATAAAGTTTTGACTCAAGAAGGGACTAATGCCTGTGTTTTGGTTATTTATGATAGCCATTTATTATTCCCACTAATGGTTTTGCGTGTTGAGAAAGCTCACCTGGATGGTTCTCTTTTGTGGTTTCTTATGTGATTTTAGTCCATTGTTGTCTGATACTATAGTAACCTGAATGCTCAACTGGGCTGAACGTCCAAGATCACTCATTCACATGCCTAGCAGTTGTTGGCTGAAAGCCTTGTTGTGATTGTTGCTGAAGCACTTATCCATGGCCTTTCGATGTTACTTAGCTTTCTCAGAGCATAATATGTTGGATGGATTCTAAAAGGGAGCACCCTAAGAATGACTGTTCTAAAAAGATAGACGTGGAAGCTGCCAGGCCACTTAAGGACTTTTGCCATAACTGGCACTTGGACTATATTCTATTGGTCAAAGCAGTCAAAGAGTCAACCCAGATTTAAAGAGCTGAAGAAATAAACTTCACCTCTTGTTGAGGGAGTGGTAAGAGGAGCATGTGCTGTGGGAGCTATTATTGCAGCCCTCTTTCGAAAATGCTATCTACGGGCTGGGCACGGTGGCTCACACCTGTAATCCCAGCACTTTGGGAAGCCGAGGCAGGTGGATCACCTGAGGTCAGGCATTCGAGACCATCCTGACCAACATGGTAAAACCCTGTCGCTACTAAAAAATATAAAAATTAGCTGAGCATGGTGGTGGGCACCTGTAATCGCAGCTACTTGGTTGGCTGAGGCAGGAGAATCGCTTGAACCTGGGAGGCGGAGGTTGCAGTGAGCCAAGATCGTGCTATTGCGTTCCAGCCTGGGTGACAGAGCGAGATTCCATCTCAAAACATAAATAACTAACTAAATAAATAAATAAAGCCATACCGCATTGGAAGCCATCAGTGTTTTTGTTACCACCTCACTCCCTATGCATCTACTTCTTTCTTCTCTCTCTGTTCATGGACCTTTGCTCTTCCTCAATCCACTCTGCAAACTAGGGACTTCGTAAGCACAATTTGCTAGTATATGTGACACAATTCGAAGCACTCACAGTTTGACCAGACTCTTCTGTCAATTCTAATTTTCTGAGAGAGATTCTGATGATTCTCTCTTAACACAAGCATTGTGTGTATTCTGATCACCCATAACATGGAGTTGGCCAGAATTACGTGGCACAGACATGGTTGTTACTGGCCCACCTTTTTGAGGAGGATTAACATTTCCAAGATGAAAGGCCCTAGCCATAACCCCTCTAAAGCATCTGTTACTCCCAGCAATGCTTACTAATTATTGAAAGTTCTACTTTAACATCAACTCCCTTATGACATCCTCCGTACAAGCATCACTCCACCCTGCATACTTCCATCCAATTTTATAGATTCTGTGATGTTTCTTGCTCTATAAATAACGTCATGCACCTAGATGGATCCCTACTCCCAGATTCTAGGTTCACGAAACATATCAATATTTCTCACACAAGGTAGTTATTCAACCAATGAAGATCATCGATATGGTAATAAAATAAGATACATTTATATGCGTATTTGCTCTCATTTGTTTTAAGGCAGAATTCTAACTATTTAGGTAATTCATAATTGATTTGCCTCTATAATTGTTAGGATTAATATTCTAAGGAATAATATTGAGGTACATCTGTGAATTTATAACCTTGCATAAGGAGCTCCTTAACCACTTAGTCCATGTTCTTGGTATAATTCTCATTACTCAGTTCAGGGCTATAGTTCGCTCTGGAAACTGCTAAGCAAAACTGATGTTATCTTCTAATGATATGTATCAGAATTTACTCCAATTGGTGTAAATTCACTTACACTAATATACGTTATGCAAAATGATCTGCATGATAATGTTATGGGCACTCTGGTATAATTTAGTTTCTGCTCTAAATTATAATAATCTAATAATGACTGAATTTTAAATTAGAATGATTTGACCGCTAGCTGATTTTGTATGGATTTGACAGAAATAAATAAATAAATGTATTGTGTTCGTGTCCACATGCTGCAGAGATCCCTGCCTATAACTGGCTCAGAAATTCATATGTTAAATGCAGAATATACTTTACTATAGAACTTGATCGAAAATGTCTTTATTGAATATATAAATATTGAAATGTTTTATAGTTATCTAAAATTCACAATCAGTATCTGCCGGAAGCCATCAAATATCTATCAGACAAATAGCAATACCTGTTTGGGGCATTTGACTTCCATTTCTTAGATTCATAGCTTCCCTGAAATTTAACTGAAATATGGCACATAATGACTGAGTAGACTACACTAAGGCCAGGCACAGTGGCTCACGCCTATAATCACAGCTCTGTGGGAGGCTGAGACAGGAGAATTGCTTAAGACCAGGAGTTTGGGACCAGGCTGGGTCACATAGCAAGACTCTGCCTCTACAAAATAAAATAAAATAAAATAAAAAGAAGGTAATTAAGGAGTATTTTCCACATGCAATTTTCTCATTATATCTCATCCCTGTCACAGTTGGCTGAATCTTACAGATTAACATCATGTCTTTGGTCCGATTTGAGTGTGACTTCAAAGATAAAACATATCAATTCTACATATAATATATAAATTACCTATTGAAAATGATATCTGAAATAGTTGATATTGACTCAAAATGATTATTGCTTTTTTCATAATAATCCCATAGGGAAGAAATAAATCGTTTCACTTGGATAATTTATGAAAGTAAAAAATATTTATGATAATTCTATTTAGGTGATCCACCTGCCTCGACCTCCCAAAGTGCTAGGATTACAGGTGTGAACCACCACTCTTGGCCAATTTACGGTCATTTTAAAGGAAGCTACATGGTAGAGGTGGTTGAGGAGAGTTTCTGAATTTCGTCTTCTTGGAAAGTTAGTTGTTCTTTGTAGAGCATGCTGACTAATAATGCTATCCTCCCAACAGAAAATCCAATCTGATTTGACAAGTCATGAGATCAGTTTAGAAGAAATGAAGAAACATAATCAGGGGAAGGAGGCTGCCCAAAGAGTCCTGTCTCAGATTGATGTTGCACAGGTATATGTTATTTCAGAAACTAAGGAACGTGTTTTCGTTGGGCATTATACTCCAGTCTATATTGGACAACTTGATTATTGGCAAGATTGGATTTGAGGACATTATTTGAAAACTATAATTTGATGTCTAAACAATGAGTGTTTTGCTCTCTACATTTTAAAGATAAAATAGGTTAATAAATTACCTTTTATTTAGTATAACATTAAGAAAAAACTACTGAATCATTCTCCCAAATGTATGTTTTCCTGTGTTGGATGAATGGAAAAATACTGCTTTATTTTGTTTTTATTTTTCTGTATATCTTCAGAAATAAAGGCAGATCTATCAATAAAAATAGGACCAGTTATTGTTTGAAAGGCAAAATTAAATCAGTGCCTTTTTACACTGTCCTTACAGAAAAAATTACAAGATGTCTCCATGAAGTTTCGATTATTCCAGAAACCAGCCAATTTTGAGCAGCGTCTACAAGAAAGTAAGATGATTTTAGATGAAGTGAAGATGCACTTGCCTGCATTGGAAACAAAGAGTGTGGAACAGGAAGTAGTACAGTCACAGCTAAATCATTGTGTGGTATGTATTTCTGGTGGCAAATACGCAGGTACCCCTTGACTTTCCTCATTAAGAAGTAACTGCTCTTTTATAAGAGAGAATTGTTTTCAGATAACCATAATAATTATACTATGTAATTTTAAGATTGAGAACAAAAATTGGCACATGTATTGTGGCCTATTCTGTGTGTCTTTTTTGAGTCTATAATTCTGCTAAGAACTGTGCAGAATATAAAAGGATGTTGCTTGTGTTTAATTTTTATGATTCTTTAAATATATTTTAAATGGAAATCTAGAAAGGAAATATATTAATCTAAAAATAGTAACAACAACAGTAGTTGCAATAATCCTAACAACTTCAGAAATAATGGATGCCAGGTAAACTACGTGACATACAGAAGTCACCTTTAATTCTTAAGGCTACAGATTACCTGAGAGAATTTAAGGACAAACAGCTGGTGAATGGCAAAGCAAGATTCCAATTCAGGTACTCTTATTCCAAACTTTAATAACTTTCCTTTAAACACCAGTACTGGATATACAGTGAAATGCCTCAAGACAACACCGAATTAAAAGGCATGGAAAGGTACAAATAGCCTAAAGTATAAATCTGATTTAAACTTTATAATATTGAACGGTGTCCTATGTTGCTGTTATTGGAAACTCACCAACTGAGATGATTCCTCTGAAAACAAAGCTGAGGTATGATTGCATCTACTCGAGTAACATAAGTATTATTATAACTCTACATGTACTATCGGCCATTAGAGTGGGAAGTCACATAAAATGAAAACACAGAATGTTATTAAAGGGAAAACAAGTCTATTTAGTACTTGATATTTTAAGTATTGTTTCTACATCTACTCCATAATATCAATGAAAAACAGAGTCCTTCAGATACATCGTAGTCATATCATGAATGGGGAAATATTTTTCTTTTTAACAAATATCTTAAAATAAATACATATATTTATGTGTGAAAAATATGAGGTATTCTTATTCGATAATATATTTTCATAATTCAAGCTGCATTTTAGTGGTATAATTACTTTAATTATTCTCACCCCCAAAAAGAAACTTGGAATAGAAATGATAGAAAGTAGTTAGTTGATATTAGATGAGTAAGGATAGGAATATATGGGAACATATCCCATCTTAAATTTTGCCAAAAAAAAAAAAAAGGAAAGCATAAATGACCCAAGTGCCTTATTCATGACTAATATTTGCAAAGTGAGCACTTTTCGTTCTTTTCTAGAAACAGGTCTCTAATGTTACCTTATAAAATGTATCCAACAGTAAATATGAGCTGAAAACAATCTCACCTGTGTCAAGCTGTGACTGTGCCCTGCGTCAGTACAAAGGAAACTGCTCAAGGCATTTGCTCAATTGGTTTCTGGTTCTGGTTTAAATGTCAGGACCAATTGAAGCAGTTCTTTCATAAGAATATCCTTACACTGTTTAGTTTTTTCATTGTTTACGATGCTTTGTGGTGTATACCATAATCATAGTCTTGCCTTCAAGACATGTTTGTCTATTTATAAAAGTCTTACTTTCATGAACACAAATATAAATAATATTTCTCCCCTTTGTTTATAAATATTTTACTTGCCTATTGAATGAAACAATGTTAATGGCTAACGGTACCTTGAGGGAACTTTCTTCATCAAAATAAAGCATTTATATTTTTTGAAGTTCAGAGAGTAAATAATTTAGAAAAATCTCTGATTCCAAATTAGCATCGTTGATTTCCAACATAATAATTAATTTCAGTGTTTCCAGATACACAGATATTTTTATATCTTCTAAGAAAAAAGTAAAATGAAGTAAATAATATCATCTGGGAAACTCAGACAAAAGTCATAATTATTAGTGATGAAGGAATGTTAACATCATTTGTCAAAGAGGATTAATATGGAAATATACATGTAGCATTGATCAGATAATTGTCCAGCCTTTACAAAATGCTTTTTTTTAGACATTACTTTTAAACTGAAAAGAGAAATTAAACCCAATTTTTGTTCTAATTCCATAAAAACAATTACCTACTGTCAGGTTTATTTTTTGGTAATACTAAAATAAGTACTGATAGTTCAGATTTATGACTAAACAAATTAAAGCAGAGATACATAATGTAAACTATTATATATACGTGTATACGTATATACACACACGTACATATATTTGAATACATGGCCACATACATACAAAGACATATATTTCTAGGAAAACTACAAAGCAAAATTAAGACATCAAGTGGTGTTGGAGTGGTGTTGGTGGTATAATTGTGAACATAGCTGTCTTCCAAAGTTATGACACTTGTCTTATGATGCTTTTTTATAGCAACCTATGTTTTGTGAAACCGTATGTGTGTGCTTTATATTTGTGATGTACATGTGAATTGTCAATAATATTTTTATATCTGGTTTTCATCAGCACTTTTAAGAAAATAAAGTTGTGTAATTTAATTAACATTGAAAAGGACCTTACTTTCTTATATATGATACAATATATATTGAAATTATGATGTAGAAATTTAGGTGCTTTAATGTTACTAATATGTAAGTACCATGAGAACAATAGTGAATGTGTGTGTTTTGGCCACCACTGACTTCCCAGTGATTCAAATACTATCTGATTGATAGTAACCACTCAATAAATACCCGATGTAGGAGTGAATTAATTCATCCAAATTTATGGCTAGAATTATATAACTCCAACATTTAAAATAGAAGTCATGTAAAATTCAGAATTGACATTTATGTTCTTTGATTGAAGAACTAAATATATATATATCACAAAACACATATATATGATTAACTCTCTGTTTAATAAGAATAGCTGCAAATGACACATATATGCATGTGTGTAGACAATTAGAAATATTAAATCAACAGAAAATGCAAAAGCTAGATATTGACCACCGCTGCAAAATGCTACTCTATTAAAATTTCAAACATGGAATAGCAATTAAGGGGATCTCTATTTATTTCTGTTCATAATATTATGAAATAATTTAACTCTACTGATTATCATGTTTTGTTTTATGTTTAAACTTAGAACTTGTATAAAAGTCTGAGTGAAGTGAAGTCTGAAGTGGAAATGGTGATAAAGACTGGACGTCAGATTGTACAGAAAAAGCAGACGGAAAATCCCAAAGAACTTGATGAAAGAGTAACAGCTTTGAAATTGCATTATAATGAGCTGGGAGCAAAGGTGTGTGCATGCTGAGACCACAAACACTTCTTTCCACTTTCCTTATAAATTGTAAAGCAACGGGCAATAAATTATGTATGATTAGAGTCTTAGCAATTCTAAACACCTCTCTCTCTCTATGTATATGTATACGTATATATATACACACATATACGTATATATATATATGTACACATATACACAAAGATAAACATATACACATATTTCGATGTGGAATTCTCATTAAGAAACAATAATTAATCAGTGAGGCTCTGCTTATTCAGATTGAAAAATACGTAACGCTCAGGGAGGTTTTTCCTGGTCCATCAGATAGCTCTAAAAGGGTTTCTTAGTTGTAAGTGTTCCTTATTTTCATTATATATATCTACTTGTGATGACTTGAAGACTGGTAAATATTATAAACTGTATCTATTTATATGTAGGTCTAATGTTGTTAACATATTCCACAGAGACCACATTAAGTTTAAAAATTACACAGTAATTATTTCCCTATATGGCCAAGACTTGCAAAATCTACCACACTTGGCTAATAAGATAGCATGGATAGCCAGTTAAGACCTACGTCTCTGTAATTATTTTTGTATCATTGTCCTGATCAGAGTCTCATGACCAGCTCCACTTCACTGCTAATTCAAGATGCCTATATCTCTCCATCTCACTTCGCTCAACTCAAATATTCTGTATAGATTATGATAGTAAGTAGTCTCTTCACTCTGTTGATTGTTTGTTTTGCTGAGCAGAAGCTTTTTAGGTTGATGCGATAACAGTCGTCTAGTTTTCCTCTTGTTGCCTGTGCTTTGGGAGTCAGATCCAAAAAAAATGTTTGCCCAGAACAATGTCAGGAAGCTTTTTCCTGTTTTCTTCAAATCATTTTATAGGTTCAGGTTTTAAGTCTTGAGTCCATTTTGAACTGGTTTTTTATATGCTGTGAGATAAGTGTCCAATTGCATTTTCATGCATTTGGATATCCAATTTCTCAGAACCATTTATTGAAGAGAATGTCCTTTTTTCATTGTGTATTCTCGGCCCCTTGGTTGATCAGTTGATCATAAATATGTGGATTTATTATTGGGCTCTCTATTCTGTTCCTTTGGTCTATATGTCTGTTTTTATACTACCATCCTGCTCTTTTAATTACTAGAGCATTATAGAATATTTTTGAATCAGGTAATTATGATACCTCCAGCTTCGTTCTTTTGGCTTAAGATTGCTTTGGCTATTCTGGGTCTTTTGTTGTTCAAAATGAAATTTGGGATTCTTTCTTCTACATCTGCCAAAAATGTCACTGGAATTTTAATAGGGATTGCATTAAGTCTGTAAATTGCTTTGAGTGGTACAGACATCTTAACAATATTATTTATTCCAATCCATGAATATGGGATATCTTTCCATAAACGGATATCTTAGTATTTCCAAAAATGGACTTCTAACATTTTAATTTCGTTCTGACTGAAAGAACTGAATTTCTTGGAGGATAAAAAGTTATATTTTTACAACTCAGGTTCTCAACTTTAGTGAATAGAACAACATCACTGATAAAATTGTCACCTCATCTTAGACAGAAATATGAATGTCCATGTTTGAGAAATAGCTAAGGAGAGGCATATTTCTTGCATCTCAGCCTGAAAGTAGATTGAAGGTTATATCTTCAAGATATTAGTTGCCAATTCCTTACCATAGAAAGTAAATTTTATAATTAAGTTGAAATCTGGAAGTAATCATTTTTCTTAGATAGTCTTGTTTTTATATTTTAAAAACCCTCTAATTAATATTTGTTATGTTTTAAACAAGTTTGTTGCCATCCTATGACAAAAGATTCTCCTACTTTGTTTCAAAATAAGAAACACTGATACTCAATTGATGGGAAAGCATTATGATAATCTTGAAATAAAATACATTTCAACTGTTCATTTGGTCTACCAAGGTACCTTTGGAATGAGATACCTTTATATCCTCTAGAGAAATTTATCATTGTTTAAAGATCACCACAGACAGAAAAATTGTATCTGCACTTGATACCTTATTCCGGTGCTTATCAATTTTTATAGATGCCAATTATTTCATATTTAACATCAATTACGAAGGACTGAGTAATCTCTAGTCTCAAATGTATTAGAGATTGAATAATCTCTAATATTAATCCTAATGCTACAGCTTCAGTTCTGGAGATATATTGTTTTTGTAATTATAAATTTTAAATTAATAAAATGAATGTATGTTATAGTTATAAATTACAAATTTTCAGTTTATAATTTGACCTGTGTGACTTTATACTAAAATAATGTATGGATGAGTATTTTTTAAATTAAGAAAATATATGTTTTGGTAAAGGGGAGTTTCTCAGTTTACTTTTTAAAATAGAGGTTTTTTGTGTGTGGGCTTTTTATTTGTCATAGGAATTTTTACGAAATCATTGCAAGAGTAAATTTAACATAAAATAACAGAATAAATCAATTAGAATTTAAAGCAATGAAAGTGACATTAGACGAATAATAGTGCCCTGAGTTGATTATTATTCAGAAATGAATGATTCTCGTAATGATGTCAAACCCTATTTATTCCTGAAAATACATATCTGAGAGCTTGTGTTTATTCTAACCATTTGCCACATAGTAATATCCTTAAAGCAAAATAAAAGTGTATGAAGAAATCATATTTAACTTTAATAGTATCACAGAATACAGCAAAAACATAGGCCAAACATTTATTTTTGAAGTAAATATTGATGTAGAAACATTTGTGACTAAGGGATCATGTATAAATACCATCTTATAAAAATGCTGTAAGTCCTATATTCTTTGCCTGAGAATAAAAATATTGTCTGGATTTTGACTCAAAATATTTTCAACAGCAGTAGCTTTGTCTAATGAAAGCAAAGGCAACAAAGGAAATGTTATTACATTATTCTTTTTATGTAAGAAGGAACCCTTCTATTTTAACCATCTTCAGAATTTATATGGTTGTGTCTGCCACAATTGAGTATGCATTACCTTTTTGGAGTAATCAGCTCTGGCTGCCATAACACAATAAAATAAACTAGGTAAATTGATTTCTGCAAGTGTGGAGTCTGGGAGTGCAAGATCAAGGTGCTGATCCATTTCATTCCTGAGGAGAGCTTTCTTCTTGTCTTACCTTTTTGCTGTATTCTTACATGGTGATGAGTGGGGAGAGAAAATATAATTAATTTATTAAGAGATATTAAAGCTGGCACCATTGATGTAATAATACCTATAACCCCTTTTTATTTCTCTATGCTCTGATTTTTATGGAAATTTACATAAATAGCAATACTAATATCATCCCTTAAATACATTGTTAACTTCGTGAAACAATGACTACTAAAACATTTTACTGCAGGTGGCATTGTGTTAAACGTATCCATTCCTCGCATACACACACAAAGTATAAAACTCAATTTTCCTTAAGATGGCAGTGTCTCCTGTTTTTTAAAAATGTATTTAGCTGGAAATAAACAAAATGAAATAAATAAAAATCAATACTGCATTAGCTCTGGGAAGATAGAATTTCTTTGAAATATTGAATCTGGAATCATTTTTCTACCAATAATGCATAGGAAAAATATGCATAGAAACACACCATAAAGTATATTTTCCCTCACCCCCCACACACCCCTACAACACAAAATTCTTGCAGTCAAAAGGGCAGATGCTTTTACTTAGGAAAAAAAAAAATAGAAGGGAAAATCTGTTTAAAAAATGAATTTACAGCCTCAGCAACTAAATGTTTTCTAAATGTACGCACACCTCTCCTAAAGAAAATAAGGAATTTTATTATTTGGAATTGGAATTGTTATCAAGGTTCCAGAATATTTATTTCGATTGTAGCATTTTAGATGCTTTATACATATTTTTATCTTTTGTGTTTTTCTTGCTTATAGATAGATTCTTATTTTGGTTGTACACACACATACACATAGACACACACACACATATATATGACATAAATATATGTATCAGTCAGTGGTGCCTATTGGGCTTAGGGCATAATGCACAAATAACGCACTTGTGGTGGTGGTATTGTTTTAACCAATTCCATTACAATTGAAATTAATCTGGAGTCTACCTTTCAGATTTCTTAGCAACAAAAGCCAAATCTTGTCCATGTTTTATTTACCTGTAAGGTAGTAAAATAAATGTAAATAAAGCTTTTGCTCTATACATTCAGGCACAGTTTTTTATTGAACCATCCCTAAAGGTAAATAATGAGAATAAAGGAAGGGATTGAGGTGGTACAATATGTCATGCTCTCTCAAACTGTTGTCTGCCTTTACCCTCGCAATATTCCTGTGTTCTATTAATAAGTATAGTAATCCCATTTGACAGATGTGTTGAGAAAAATGAGGTGTTCTGCCAAAAATCATACTCAAGTCGAGAGTCCACTACGTATCGCAGAGCCTAACATACTTACATTCCATCATGCTGTTTCTGCAGAGCCAAATATTTATATCTATTGTTCAGATTCCCAGGCTTCATGACAGACAAGGGTTTTTTTTAAAAAAAGGTGAAAACACATACCAAAGAAAAGAAAACCAGGAGCAACTTGTAAGAGTATAAACTCTTTATGTAAATTCTACCAGTTATATTTTCTAACTTGTAATTAACGATTTGCAAGTCTTCATTCATTCCTTTATTCAATACATAAAGCATATTTAGTGAGACCTTTCTTTGTTCAAGGAACTTTCAGGAGTAGAGAGGAGTAATCTAAAGATGTGTGAGGCAAGAAGATTTGCCTTTAAGAAATTGTAATTTATCTGGCTTTTGTTGATGATTTGACTGCCTTTAGTAGAAAGAGATGCTGGGATTTTTATTAAACCAACCAACTGAAAATCTTAACAAAATATAGGCACATCTGAGAAGGTGGTGGAGAAATACAGATTTGTTCATTTCTTATGTGAGAATATGGATAATTTGCTTTTGAGGGTGTTGGTATCAAACACTGAGAACAGGAGCACAGGATCAAGTAATTAGTTTTTCTATTAATGGGAATGAATATTGTCTTCACATTCATCTTTTTGTCCCTATTGGATGGCAAAATTATGTTTAAGGAGGAAGTGACCTATTCACTGTATTGTTTTTGAGCAGATGTGAGACACTTTAAAGATGTAACGAGGATACAGTTGAGAATTCTAGGTATTACACAAATACTTTTACCTTTTGAGAGAATTAATCTTCTATCTTCATTTTGATTCCTTACCAGCATGAGCTAGTCTCACTTGTATATAGAGGATTGTAAACCTTCTTGCCATATTATTGACACATGACAGTAAGTTTTCAGTGAGAAATGAGTTTTATCTTCAGTTTGACTTATATCATTGTATTTATCATAAACTTTGGCTATAAATTATCTTAGAGAAAAATTCGTATAGGTTTCTTTTCTACCATGACGACATACAAGACCCTATCTTTTGGACAAACGATGTCATCTGCCCTAGACAGTTTTTATTCACTCTTAATATTCAGAATATATGATTTTTATAAAATATTATTTTAAAACGTGTAAGAAAATAGTTATTTTAAATAACAGAAATATAAAAGTTCCAAATAAGTGGTTATAACGAAATTTGAATTAAAGAGTAAACTAAATTACATTTCATTATAATTCTTTTCAGGTAACAGAAAGAAAGCAACAGTTGGAGAAATGCTTGAAATTGTCCCGTAAGATGCGAAAGGAAATGAATGTCTTGACAGAATGGCTGGCAGCTACAGATATGGAATTGACAAAGAGATCAGCAGTTGAAGGAATGCCTAGTAATTTGGATTCTGAAGTTGCCTGGGGAAAGGTAAAACCTATATCACTGAAGGTTATTTTGAACATACGTGAAAACACATAATATGATTTTGTAAGGAAGTATTAACATGTAGCAATAATAGCATTATAAATATTAATATTGTTTCATATTCCCTTTCTTAAAAATTAATCTGTGCTTTTCAGGACCATGATAAAACCAATGGTAAGCTTTAGCAGGAGTCTCTCCAAAAGCTTCCTTAGAGTTCAGTAAATTATGAATAAGACCTTAAGAAATACATAGGTCATTAGTCTGAAAATTGGTCCAGAGATGAGATCCTATAATGTACTGGCTTGCCTAAGACCATACTGCCCAGATGAATCCCACAGCCATGAAGAGGGCAAGGACACAGAGATTGAAGACAGTTGGGCTGGACAGGACTTGCAAGATTAGCATATTGCCAAAGTCGCATTTCAGAAAGAATCTCAAGGTGTCTATGCAGGGGCTATCATTTCCATCACCAAATGACACAGCGACTCCTGTAATCATTAGCCGTTAAATTCTTGCCCTTTCTCTGATGGCCAATCATTTCATGCTGCTTAGAACTTAGTCAAGAGACTCATAGCTTAGTATTTTTTTTTTTACTGTTTATTCATTACCAGATTACCTGAAAGTGTGTTGATATAAAGAAAATAGCTGATATTGATAACATGTTTTACCTCAAAATTTGCCACTGTGTTAGGCCATTTACACCCACTTAATGTTTTAAAGTTACCAAATTAACTAGATGTATAAGACGTTTATACTTTATTTTTAATTCAATGTGGCTATCCAGATTATTCAAAGTTGGGAAATTTTCAATACCTTATGTAAAAACTTACAATCGTATAAATGAGACCCAAACTGAAAACTGTCTTTATGTAGATTCAGAGAACAAGTAGTAATATATTTTGTTACATAAAATATTTCCAAATAAATAGTAGGGAATTAAATTGTTTTTCTTCTCTTTCAGAATAAATGTAATGTTAGATAAGATATTGAATTATAGTTATTCAGGATCATACATGAGATTACTATAGCAAGGAAGATACAGTATATACAGGTTAAAACTCACATTAGCCTTATTTTTTCTTATCATTCAAACATATTACTTGAGGTATTTTTGCATTAGCCTCACCATGAAATCATTCAAATGTTATAAGGTAATGACCTTTGCAGAGGTTTCTAGGTTATCCTTCTCATATAGAAGGCTTGAATAGTCTGGAGAATTGTCTGCTTGTTGAATCTGCCTGGAAAGTATTTTTCATAACGTCAAGGAGCAAAGCTACTGTGAGATCTAGTAGGAAAAAAAAAAAGCTTAGAAAACTGGCATTTATTTTCTTTCTTTATAGAATAAAGATAATTTATCACTCTATCTAGATCTTTTCAAACACTAAGCTGTTAATGACATACTCTAAAATCTCTTAGTTGTCAAATAAAGTATATTCATTTGCATCTGAATTACAGAACTTTTTTTTTTTTTTACCAATTTATTTGGAAGGTTCTCATTATTTCTTTAAAAATAACAATCATAAAAGAATATATGCCCTGCAGATCTAAGCCAGTCACATTTATGATAATCATTCTAATATTTTAACATAAAATTCAAACTCTCATATATGAAACCCCGTGACTATTGAGTACATTCTCATTTCTCATGGTTTCTTGGTAGGTGGAGAGCTTAATTCAAGCTATAAGTTTCATCTGCTGTTTCAAAAGATAAATGTCACATTTTTAAAAACTAAATTAAATTCATTTAAATGCAATACATTAAATGTAGTTGCCGATCATTCCAAGTATTTGGAATGTGACTGCAGCAAATTTGAATATCTAGAGTCAATTTCTTTTTTATTATTTTAAAAAATTTTTAGACAATTTAATTTATATCTGCTGAATTTCTCCCAGTTCTGTTGACCCAAGAACATTATATTTATTTTCGTATGAAAGTATTTGAACATCTAGTTTCAAATATTCAAATACATAAAAATGTCAATTACTCATGAAGTGATTTTTTGACCTTTAGTTTATCCAAACAAAGCATAATTTCAAGTACATTGACTATAGTTAAATAGTATCAGTTTTATCTTAAAGTATCTTAATTATATTTAATATATATTAAATTCCAGAAAAATTATTTAGTGTGGCTTGAAGAGATACATATGGCACAACTTGAGAAGCCTAAATAAATTGGAAAACTAGGAAAAGGAAAATTATAGTAGATAAATAATAAAAAATTCTTGCATAGAAATATATCCACAATGTATCATGGGTGGTGGAATGGACAGGGAACATTTTAAAGCCACAAATTGGCGCCAAGCTTCCTAAAAGACAAAACCAAGAAGTAAACATATTTTTGAGACCCAAAGTTTCCAAATTATTAAAATAATAATTAAAATAATTTTAACTTTACTAGTAGTATGTTAGCTTTTTGCTAGAACTTAGTGCCAGAAGAAAATAAATGGGAGGGTCATAAAGGTGATAACACGCTGATTCATATTCTTATAATAAACAATAAGAATGTTTATTTTTTTCTACCAACATGGCTCCATGAAAAAGAAAAATTTAGTGCTAAAGGGCCATTCAGGAAAAGCAATTCTATGAGAGGAAAAAATATTGGAGCAGAAGTCTAAAGTAGTCTAGCAATTGTTTTCAGATTTTCAGATTCTCTATTTTATTAATTTTTAATTTTGTATGGATACATACTGGGTGTATATATTTATGAATTATAGGAGACATTTTTATACAGGCATGCAATACGTAATTGTCACATCATGTAACCTTCTGTGAATATGCTTTCCTGCAACTGAGCTTTTAAGTAGAATTAGACATCAGAGATTTGAAGGTTATTTATTTTCTCTGAATACAGAAAAAAATTTTCTGTATCTTTTTCCTGGAAAGAAGCCAGATTGTTTCTAACTGAGAACACATTTCTATACTTGGCCCTATATCTAATTGGAAAGCAGGGCTTCATATTCATGTGTATGTCATAGTACTAGAAGGCTTCAATAGCTAAAAATTTTTGCTAACATAGAGTTTTGGGTTTGAACCAGTCACAGAGAAATTGGCTATTGAGCCTTTTCGTGCCAAGCATAATTGAAGAAAGAAAACTCACCATCGACAACTCAAAATATGTTGACTTCTCTAGGAACCTGTATCAATCTCTCAGTGAATGTATTTATTTGAAAACACAGTTGGGCTATTACTTTAGCTGTAAAAGCTATTGAAAATAAAGCTCAGTAGTACTCTCTTACTTGATGATGGCATTTAAAAGGTGAAGTGAGAATGTTTTATAGGGGGCATGAAGTATCAAGTACTGAGTGTGATGAAAATTAATATACTGGTTAATGATAATACTGAGTCTAAATGTACTAGTTTTTCCTGTGATATGAGAAAACTAGAATTCACTTTTCAAGATCAAAATTAGCAAAGAATTTGGAAGTATTGCTCCAATTGGAGAATCAGAAGTCACCTTAAAAACAATACAGATTTTACTAATCTATAGTAATATATATTTCATAAAGTCTTCATGTGACACAAAAGTTTTAGGGTTTTGGTTTTTAACTAGCCGTGTTATATAATCGAGGAAATTTCCTATCCTAAATTAGAAAAGTATAAGCATATTTAAAGTTCAATTCAGTTTTTCTTACATTACGAAGCTGAGAAAAATGAATCTAACATTAAAATCAAAAGCAATCTGGTCTGGCTTACTGTATTCATGTCACCAATGCGGTTTATCAAAAATCCCTGTCATATCAAATCAAGCCCTTCCACAATGATCTAACACTTAAGTTTTTATGAGAAAAAAAAAAAATTGGATTCTCTATACTCATTTCACCTCCTTACCGTGGCTGTGGGCAGGCCCCAGATGATGCATTGTCTATAATATAAACTATGTTGGTGACCACCAAAGCAGCCAGGCATTCTTGCTGTTCCTTCATTTCTTACTAGATTATGTTATTTAATTAATTTAATAGTATTTCATCGCCTATTTATAGGGCCATAGTCCATGTGCAAGCAGTTTTCCAGTACCACCAAAATTCTCAATAAGGTCCCATCACAACTATCATTTAGGCCTACCATAAAATACACAGAATTAATAAAATGAGACAACCATCATTGTGTGAGCAATACTTAAGTCAGCCCCATGCACCTTCAGAGAGGTACTACTAGCATTGAGATGAATTATTCCAACTTGTAGGGAAACCAAATAGATACCGAAAGAAAGAGTTTATTCTTATTTATTTATTTTGAGATGGAGTCTTGCTCTTGTCACCGATCCTGGAGTGCAATGGCCCGATCTCGGCTCACTGCAACCTCCTGGGTTCAAGCAGTTCTCCTGCCCCAGCCTCCCGGGTAGCTGGGATTACAGACACCTGCCACCATACCCTGCTAATTTTTTGTGTTTTCGGTAGAGTTGGAGTTTCACCATGATGGTCAGGCTGGTCTCGAACTCCTGACCTCAGGTCATCCACCTGCCTCGGCCTCCCAAAGTGCTGGGATTACAGGTGTGAGTCACCACACCCGGCCAGAAGAGTTTCTTACACTGGCCAAAAGATCAGTTATGTTCTTTATAAACTTGGCATAGGCTTAGGGGGCAATTCACCATTTGTTTTCTAATGCTGTGCCCTTTAAAAAGGAAGGGGAAGGTTGCCTAAAACGATGAAAGAGATGTTATAAAAATCAAGCTTCTTGAGAAATATAGTAAAATTGGAAACACCTTAAATGTTGCAGTGTGTTACCATTTACACAAAGGATAAAATATGTAGAAATATACATTATTTAGTTATATATAATATATAGTAAAAGCAGAAAGATGTTTGGGAATTAATATAAACTGAATACAGAACAAGAGCTATCTCTGTGAGGAAAGACAAAAGAATTGGGTGGGATATGAACAGGACACTTAAATGATACTTGTAATATTTCATTCCTTAAGATGAGTTATGCATACAGAAGTAATGATTACATTTGGTATACTTTCTGTGTGTCTAAAATCACATATAAGAACATAAGAAAACATACAAAAGCAAATGCTTGGGATTTTTCCTTTTGGAAACTCCACTAGCCAGGTTCTGTAAGATAACGCTTAGTAATTAAGGAACACCCACTTCGTGAGTATTATTGGTTTCAAAAGAGCATGGCCACTGTTCATTCGGTTTGCCTAAGCATTGGCCAAAGATTCTCCTGCTGATTGAGCAACAGGACAGGAACCTAGCAGATTAATTCCAGCGAGATGAATAAGGAACATTGTCTTTCCAGTTTTTAAAGAGGATGTTTCTGTGGCTTTTTTTTTCTTTATTATCTACATTGAAGCATGATCGACAGATTCTTATCAATGATTTCCTTGTGAAAGCAGAGTCAAGGGAATGAATAGCGCAAACCGAGAACTGAGAATTTTCATCAAAGTGGAACCAAAAGTTAGCCTGTGTATGGTCAGTTTGTGTGGCAGCAGTGCTGTTCTATCCTTAAGAACACTTCTATTCAGAGAGAATCGTTATTAGAGAGGACAGATCTGTAAGTCACTGGGTGAGGTAACATCAGAACTGAAGGTCCTCTGAAAATGATCTTATTTCCCTTTTTGTAAACAAGAAAACTGTGCAAAAAGCTCCATATCCCTTTCTCTGTTTCTCGATTACTTTCTTTTTAAAATTACTTTAGATTCAGGGGTTACATGTGCAAGTTTGTTACATGGGTGTATTGTGTAACAATTCTAAAATTCATATGGAACCAAGAAAGGGCCTGAACAGCTAAAGCAATCCTAAGCCAAAAGAACAAAGTTGAGGGCATTACATTGCCCCACTTAAAATATACTACAAAGCTGTAGTAACGCAAACAGCATAATACTATTACAGATATAGACACCTAGATCAATGGAACAGAATAGAGAACTCAGAAATAAAGCTGCACACCTACAACCAACTGATTTTTGACAAAGTTGGCAAAAATAAGCAACAGAGAAGGGACACCTTATTCATTAAATATTGCTAGGATAGCTGGCTAGCCATATATAGAGGAATGAACCTGGACCCCTACCTTTCACCATATACAAAAATTAACTCAAGATGGATTAAAGTCTTAAATGTAAGCCCTGAAACTACTAAAAATCCTAGAATAAAACCTAGGAAAAGTTCTTCTGGACACTGGCTTAGGCAAAGAATTTATGACCAAGACCTCAATGACAAATGCAACAAAAACAAAAATTGACAAATGAGAGTTAATTAAATTAAAGCTTCTGTACAGAAAAAGAAACAATCAACACAGTAAACAGATAACCTCCTGAATGGGAGAAAATATTTGCAAACTTTGCATCTGACAAAAGAATAATATCCAGAATCTATAAGGAACTTAAACTTGTCAACAAGAAATTAAAAAAAAACAGATTAAAAACAGGACAAAGAACGTGAATAGACACTCCTCGAAAGAAGACATACAAGCGGCCAATGAGCATATTAAAAAATCTTCAATATCACTAATCATCAGAGAGATGCCAATTAAACCCTAAATAAGATACCATCTCACACCAGTCTGAATGGCTTTTGTTAAAAAGTCAGAAAATAACGGATGTTGATTGCTTTCATAGGGTGACCATGATTACATTTGTAATAGTCATTCACTCCTAAGGATTTCAAAGTCATGTGGGTCCAGGATCCTCAATATGAGGATTAATGTTACCATGGGAACCATGAAAAGAGCTGACCTAATAGGGGCCATATCAATTCTAGCCAACTTCTTGAGCTTCCTAATAGAGAAGAATGCCTAAGAGACTCTCTCACCAAGAGGAAGGCAAATTAACTAGTCAGATAAATGAGAGCAGAGATGGGCAAACTATAATTGGTAGGCCTAATCCATTCAGCCACCTTCTTTTGTACAGCCCATGGGCTGAAAATTGTTTTTATGTAAATGGTTGGAAAAAATCAAAAGAAGAACTAGATACTTCAGGACACATAAAAATTATTAAAAATGCATATGTCAGTGTCTGTACATAAGACTATTGAAGTGTATCAATTTATATTTGTTTATTTTTTCTGGCTGCTTTTGTGCTAAAACAGCAGAGTTGAGTAATTGTGACAGAGACTGCATGGCTCACAAAGCCTAGAACAACTACTATGTGGCCATTCACAGAACATATTCAAACTCCTGAACTAGAGGAAAGCTAATATAGAAGCAGCACCCTGTTTGACCATAGAATTTTGCCATGTCTTCTTCTTGAATGAGTATCAGAGGTTTGACATTTCTGGGATCCTTTTGATAGGCCAGTGGCGTTGTAGAATTGGTCTTTCCTAAATAGAATGATTCATCTAAGTTTTCTTCCTGCTCAGAATTAAATAGTAACATATTCCAAACCATAGATACTAGAATGCATAGCCCTTCCAAAAGATACTGGGTGGTGCGTGACACAATTTAAGATGTTTAAAGATACCATCTACTTGAAGAGAATTACGAACTCAAGAATGTCTTAGGTATTCTAATTCTTAATGATCCCACAGAGAAAGAATGGGAGAACTTCCAGAAGTAGTGAGGATGTGGTCAGGGGTGATTAACTGAAGGGACAGCTGCAGGTAAGAAAACTGTCCTGTGTCCCCTTACCCTGTGACCATGTTTCCAAATTATAGTTACAGAAAAAAAGAATATATTTTAAAAGTATTCCAAATTGTTTAAAAGGTAAAGAAAAATTTTTAAATTAAAATGACAGGAGGAAAGCCATTTGAGAATATTAACAAATGAGATAAAAGATTGATGATGAAAATTGACAATTTAAATTATTAATGCTAATTGCAACTTCCTACAGCGACATAGCCCTTTCACTGTATTTTTAAATTCACCCTTCAATCAGAGTAGTATTAAAGAGGGTAAAATTAATGTTAAGTTTTTAAAAATATGGATCAATCCTAGCTAGCTGCATGGTCCAGACAACAGCAATGCCACGAGGCAGCCATCACAGTGATATTTATCACCCCATAAATGTTCAGATACTTTTCCTTTTCTGTTAATGGAATTTTCTAGGCTGAGGTGACAAACACTGATAGCTGTAGAATAGAGATGATGGAAGGAAATGGCAAGGCAATCTACAGGAGATTACTAGCACCTGAAGAGTTTGAATACTGGAACTGCACAAGTTCCTTGAGCTTTCATGATAACCCCTACTCTCTTGGACTGTTATGTAGGCAATAGTAATTCATTCAGCAAAAGGACAGGGAAAATGTGTATTTTGGTCTCTGATATTTCCCATGTACATAAGATATTGCCTGACACATAGGACATACTCATGAAATATCTGTTTAAACGTAACTTGCAAATTAAGAGTTGCAAATTATAATGACAAAGCAGTTCTTGAGAGAAGAGAAAAATGCTGATTTACATTTAAAATTGTACAAGTTTTATAACAAACATAAATAATCACCTGATCAAATGTTCCCGTTTTATAGATGAACAAATACAAGTCCTGGTACATAGCAAAACTGTAATACTATGCCTGATTTCAACAGTTTTTTCCACTATACCAAATTATCATAAGAAGTCTTATTTTCTAGTAATTTTAAAGTAATCTAAGCTTAAAATAACAAAAAGCTACTTATTCACAATAAGCATGAAACAAACCATGGCTAAATTTCAAGTGCAGAAAATATAAGTCCTCATTAAAATAATAAAATGAAAACCCGTGTGTATCTATCACCTACTACAGTCTGTAGTCTGTCCCCACTGTTGTGATTTTAGATTTCAAATATTGTTTGTTAGTATCTTAATATCACTCTGATTAGTTGAGTGTAAGTAAATCAATCTGAACATCCCATTACTGGCCAATATTGTTTAGCATATGAATTGATCACGAAAACATAACCATAGGAAAGTAAATATGTATGTGATTAATTAGAGGTTTACTTCCCTGAAGATCATTATGTTTGGGAAATACAAGCTTTGACAAAGTCTAATCTATATGATTTTCTGATTTAATCACTAACATTTTATTTCTAATTTTGTTTTAAGCATCAAAGATTCCAACTCAGTTAAATAATTTAGTTCCATTAAACCCCTAAATATCCATGGTGTCATCTGAAAGTTCAAATGGTAGAATAAGATTTTCTGGAAAAAAAAAATTTGGTCCTATAGTATGTTCATCCTACCGCCTGTTTTATTAACAGTAGTCTTAGTATGCCAAGAGTTGCCTGAGAGGAACACACACAAACACACACGCACACAAATGGTATTAATAAATTTAACTGAAGGTGTTAAATGCAGAATAATCTATGTCTAAATAGCCACTTGTTTAACAAATTACCGTGTTTTTCACGTTTATTTTGGAAACAAAGTTTTATAATATTTAACCTCAGGAAGAACAAACATTGGTTGCTCAATTATCCTTTGGCTTTCAGTTCACTCTTAGAATTTAATGACTATCACTCAATAAAAACTCAGAATGCATCTTTCTGTTTGCCTGTGGTTTTCAACATTGGTTGCACATCAAAATCACCCGAGAAACTTGAAAAGTATCCCAATGTTTGGGGCCCACTTCCAGAGATTCTGATTTAATTGGTCTAACTCTAACTAGCTCTCTTATTCAGCAAAGTTGAGAATCACTAGATAATGTGATACAAGATCCGCGAATTTCAAGCTGTCTGACGAGAGCCTAAATTCAGCTCAGTCAACCATGTCTTGTATATATATTTTTTATAACAGTAAGATTTCACAGTTTAAAGAGATCTGGTTTCTGGTCCTAGATTATCTGGATAACTGCCTCAACTCATCATTCCTCTTAGCTATAAAAATATAAGAACTATTACTTACTCTAAAGTCTGTTATACTCTCATTCCCCTGAAAAATTACGTATCTTTTTTTTTTAAAGTGAGCAGAGTAATTTATCTGTGAAGTGAAATAACACTAGCAGATCATTAACTTGGTGCAATGAATGCATCAAGCAGCTGTTACTTAGAAAATAGAACATCTGTTACATGCCATTGGAGTCACTATTCACTGTCATTATAGTTAGAGCTGTTATTTCTGTTCAGTTCATTCTGCTTTCATGAAATTCTTCTTTAATAAACAATACAGTGTTATTAAAAAGTCAATACACATTGCTATAGAATCCACTATTTAATGCTTTATGTTCTTTTTGAATGTATCATTATATTATTCTGTCACATTAGCCTAATAGTAAAATATGTCCTAAACCTCTAGCCATGATAGAGTAATTTTGGGGGCTGTAAAAGCAATTAGCATCTCATTTCCTCATGTTTAAGACATGTTAGATTGTGTGATGCACCATTGATATGATTACAGCTGCTGAGAATTTAAAAAAAAAAAAAAAAACACTACCACTTTCAAGGTAAACCTTAATTGTATGTTACATCTCAATTTCCGAATCCTTAAAATGTGACAAATGCACATCTTAGAATTGCAGTAATATGGCAATGTATTCCTTTTCTTTCCACGAATATGTTACGTAGCTAAAAGGTGAAAGAACCCTCTCCTGTTCTCTGTGATCAGAAATGGTATAATATTTGCAAATACTAAGTGCAGAATTCACCTGGGTAGGGGGACTTCTCAAGATGCCTTTTATGGATGCTTTAGTTAGCCTTTTATTCATATTACAGGGAACATGAGTAAGAGAAAGGAATAGCTAAAATAAGTCTGAATTTAATTGAGTCCTAGTAAAGGGAGGAATCTATAAGGAAATGATGTTAAGGTACGTAGGTAAATAAATGTGGTGCTGATTGAAGATAAGCTCTAGAGAACAGGAGACTCTTAAGATAATAAAATTTGTTTAAAAAGAGGGGGTGGAAAAAAGAGATCAGACAGAGAAGTTATCTTAAGAATATAAGTCCCTGAGAAATTCCAAGAAAATCTGTGGAAGGTACTGGAAAACTTGTGAAAATACGAAATGGGTGGAGGAGAGAATAGAGGTTAAGTGAGCTACATTTCTTTACCCCTGAAGGGAAATGTTTGTAAAGGTGTTCCTATAGGACCAGATGATTTTTCCAATAATTTTTACCGTTCTACCATTAAATAAAAATAATGAAAAATGCTGATGGTATAATCAGCAGAGACCAATGGAGAAGGTTTTTCCATCTTGCTACTGTATCAGTGAAGTGAGCCGATAGCTGAACCCTGAACCGAACATGCCTTTTTAAATTTCTACAAGCAATTATACTTGTAGATATGGGGAATGAATCAGAATGTATTCTTCATCCTTCCCATCAACATGGGGCATGACTTCACTGGAAGAAATTAACTCATTATACTCATTCTTTTATAATAAGGAAATTAGAGTAGCATTTACAAATTATGGCTAAGAAGTAGACAGCAAATTTGTTTGAAATCATGGAAGTTAGTGCTTAGTATTTGGACTATTTATACTGGAGCTATCAAATGTTACAAAGTAACATATGGAAAATAATATGTTAGACATTGTGAGAATTTATAGTTTAATTGGATTTTACTTATGTCAGATATTTTCCCCTCTATCATAAAAACCCTTAGTGCCAAGTATATAGTTTGCGTTCACCTTCTCTTGAATCTCCTGAAGGTGGACTTACAATCATGTCATAGGTCAAGTTAAAACTGAGTGTACACAATCTTGCTTTTTCTTCAGCCCTAAAATCGATCCTAGCAGCAATCACATTACTACATGACTGAAAAACCTAAAGTGTCTGAGTTATAATTTAGTGAATTTAGTCATTGAATTTGAACTTGCTCCTTCAGAAGAGTAGATCTTCTAGAACCCTCTCCACTTCTCACCTCACAAGGCAGAAGAAGGCATGTATGCTGAGAATCGGATGCTTTTGAAAAGGAGGAAATGCCATATCTTTTCAGCTGTTTCTTTCCATCTCGCCAACCCTATAAATAAGGAGCTCCCTTTGAGAGGAATGAGTACAGGTATAAAGACAATGGCCAAGGCAATAGCTCTAGGTTGGTTCTCCATACATCTGAAGATGCAGACATTCTTGTGTTGTGGGAAACTATTAGAGCCAGAGAAAATGGTTCGTCAACAACCTCATCAAATGTATTCTTTTAGTTTACAGTAAGAATTCCCTGTTCCTCTATGGCAGCCTTGTATTCTAACTTTCATACCTTCTCGTTGCTTCGTACTTTGTCTTTAGTCAATCCAAACCATCCCATGCACACTCCGCCTTCAAGTGTCACCTTTCCCTTGTAGTCATTCATGCTTATTCCAGCCATGGCTCATCTGTTTCCAAAAAAAAATGTGATTTTTTTCTAGTATGATATCAAATTGTTTTATTGCATTTAAGCTTTCCTCTGCAGCTACACTGTAGGCATGATTAGAGTGAGGTTTGCAAAGATTACCTCATTCCTCATCTCTGGCAGTGAATAGCACAGTACAGACTGGATATTAGGCACCTGATATACATTGGTCAATTAGTATTTCAGATCTCCAGAAAGCAAGCTCAGCATAGTATTTAAAGGCTAAGTCTTATTTAAGTCTTATTTCTTAAGTCATATCTTTGATTAAAAACACATTTGAGGGAAAAATTTAAGGCCTACTAAATTAACACAATATTTTTTCCTAACCCAAAACAGCATGTATACAAATGATTGAATACTGGTTCCTTATTGTTGAATAGCATACATAAAAGTTTAACTCTAGGTCTCTTTTTTTACAGAGTGTAAATTGTCCTGTGAATCACTTTTGACCATTAGCAGTTATAAACCACCATCATATCACTGCTTTTTTCAAATACAAGTTGATAATGGTGATAAATTGAACATCTTTTAGTTTTAATTTATAATTTTGTGGAACTTAAGAAGGCACTAGAAATTAGTCCACATTTCCTATTTTGTTCCCATCAACTGAACATCACTGGACATTGTTTAAATTAGCTGGAGGAATTTGGCCAGATGTTGACACATAATGGTTTCTGTGACCCAGGAACTACCTGCAACATTATCCCCTAAGTTCAAAACTTTTGTGATCTCTTCTGAGTTTTGGAAAATTCCATTGCCTTTAATTGCATTGCTTGTCATGTAAGAAACAAAATCTATGTACACAATAACTTTTTACATTGATGCTAAAATATAGTGTCATCTTTATGAAGACTTATTAAGAGATAATTAGTAATCCAAATATAAATTAAGCTTCAACTTTGTGAAGGGTTACCTTTGTGAATAAATCAACTACAGCGAGATGCCAGTAGACTGGAATATAGAAAGTAGATAATTCTCATTTGCGTATATGTCCATCTCTTTGACAAACTCATACTTGGATATAAGTTTTTGAAGGATGGGGACTTCTCTACCGTTTTATCCCACAGAGCCTAGTAACAATGGCTAACATCTATGGTTGTAGAGGTTGTATACTACAAAAGGTTGAAGTCAAAGTATTAAAAGGAATAAAATCTAGTCTATGTCTACTCTGAAGTTAAGCTCTAAAGGGTCTGTATCTACCCAAATGAGAGACTTCTAATAATCTCCCAGAATATATTGAGGAGAATTACATATGATTCTGCTACAGTAGTAACTGGCATATAATAGGAGCTCAGGCAACACTTACGATTGATAAATGAAGAAATTGCTTTTATGAATTGCTAAGCTCACCTGTGTGCAACAAATAGCACCTACATATGAAGAACCCCATGCATGATAGCTGTCGAGTTCATCTGGCATTAAGTACCTTAATTTCAGGCATGTTTTTATTGAAAAAATGTGACATAAAACCATATCTTAGAATTGAAGAAACAGTGTTTTTGTCTTGCATAAAAATTTTTATACATTGTTTCCTCATTTATTTCTCCTGTTTATCCGATGCCAAAGGCAAAACCAAAACAGAAAGTATGAGAAGTGATTTCGAGTGGACCAGGACCTTATGGCGTGGCAGAAAGACAGCCACAGGACTACTTAGGTATATTATAAAGATAGAAAAGACATGTTGAGAGTGACTCTATGAGGCCAGCCTATACCTAATTTCTTACTCTTGTACTGTAATTTTTTTCTTAAGAAATTAGATGTAGGCTGGCATTACAGAGCTGCTCCTTGTGTGTTTATTAATTGATTATTTGTATCTGGACTTTCTCCACTTTCCTGTTATTGCTGTTTCTCAATGATTTTGTTTTGCTTTGGCTTTCTGTGATTAAGACATCAGCTCCACTCGCAAATAGCTTTTCAACTCGAGTGCCAATCACAGTCTCTGTATCTGTTAACCTTATTGAGAAAGGAGAAAAAGGGTCTGTTGGGCTCTGGCTCAGCTCTCTGTGAATGTCCCACAGCTGGCTAACTAGACAGGCAGGGAAAGAACCAGGCACAGACTCAGTGGAATGCCGAGTGGCCACATTGTCTGTCAGCCGTGCCATGTACCAGGAAAGGGGCTTTATGCAGGGCAGGTAGTAAACCTTTGTACTAAGATCACTTTTTCCATCACTACTCTCTATCTTTTTTCATGTTAAATGTGATTGTTTTCATGTTTTATAAATCACCTCTTAGGAAATAGTGGTATTCTCTTAGGAGATTTTAGTCTAGGGTATGTGGATAGAAATAAGGTCTGTGAACTTGGATTGGGGGAAAACTTTATCTTTATTTGTATTCAATTAAAACCAAAAGTAAGCAGTTTTTTCAGTTAAAATGTGAGCAACAAACTCCAGCAATAGAGATACCCATGACTTTGTCACTAATAGAAATGACAGATACTTTTATAACGTGTTCCAGACATTGTACATACTTAAAAATACCAGTTATGCTCGTCATCACTACATTGAAATTATCCTAAAGACCTGATGCTAGATCTTGTTAATTAACATATTAGGAAATAAAACATGTATTACTACATCACAAATATTTAAAAAATGTGTTGCACATTGTATTTCAGTATAATTGTTTTCATTTAAAATCCTATGTATTTTGTTTTATGCATTTAAAAGCATTATTATGAGAATGGGTTTTTAAGCTTCAACAGATGCCAAAAAGATCCATGGCACTAAAAGGCTAAAAAAATCCCTGCTGCAGAAATACAGTAGCACCATACTGTAGAATTTTCTAAGGGCAGTTTCTTATTTGTGGATGGATTTTCAAATATCTGCCTTTAGCCACTACATGTATAAATTAAATAAATATAAATATATTTAGTTGAACAATATGTATGTTTATTAAATATTTATAATGAAAAATAAGACATGAATTATGCTTATGTACATATATATGTTCATAGTTACCCAACAATGAAGCTTCAGTATATATGGTATGGTTTTCATGATTCATTAATACATAGTTATAGGTTTAAAACCTTGCAGAATCATAGTAACCATACAGAAAGCCGTTTCATAAGCATTAAATCTTAAGACTACAAGACATTACTTGAAGGTCAATGCTCTCCTTTTCACAGGCTACTCAAAAAGAGATTGAGAAACAGAAGGTGCACCTGAAGAGTATCACAGAGGTAGGAGAGGCCTTGAAAACAGTTTTGGGCAAGAAGGAGACGTTGGTGGAAGATAAACTCAGTCTTCTGAATAGTAACTGGATAGCTGTCACCTCCCGAGCAGAAGAGTGGTTAAATCTTTTGTTGGTAAGAGAAAAGGCTAGAAGCTTTTACACCCTTCTCTGTCACGAGAAAAAGATACATAAGTGACCAGTAACAATTCTGTGTTTGAAAATTTCTCAATTCTACGTATATGCTGGCTCTTAATTCAATATCTATAACAATATTTTAATATATTTTTCTTTATATTTACGCAATATTCTATATGAAAATACCACTTAAAACTAATCTCAATGAAACTTTATTGTTGTCTTTTAAACATTTTAGAACATAGGAAAAATTCTTTAAGAATATTGTCTAACCAATAATGCCATGGTATGTCTCTGTACAATTAAGGAATACCAGAAACACATGGAAACTTTTGACCAGAATGTGGACCACATCACAAAGTGGATCATTCAGGCTGACACACTTTTGGATGAATCAGAGAAAAAGAAACCCCAGCAAAAAGAAGACGTGCTTAAGGTAGCAAATAAAATATGAAAAGTAATGTCCAAATTGTACACCAGTTACTTCAATCATCTTTGTCCTAAAAGATACTAAGGACGTCTTAATAAGAGTAAAACAATCCTTTCTTCCTTCCTTTATCTTTCCCTTTTTCCTTCCTTCCCCCTTTGAATGGAAATGAATGATTTTGAAGAGTTCTGTAATCTGACTTTCTGTTCAAATCCATCACTCAGTTAATTATACCCAATGTAAACTCCGTTCAGAAAGATATTCCAAGATTTATTTTGAAATCATATTGCAAATTTCTGCCTTTGTCAATGGTGGTACTACATTCTTGTGTCTAACACAAAGAACAATCTGACACTATCATTCATTTAGCCCATCTGAATGAACACCTGAAATCCAGTCAGCTGATTTTTTTGCCTATGCCATATCCAAATCTTGGTAATTAGTCTTAATGTTGGGCTTATGTAAAGCTGAGGTTTTCATTTTTAACTACATGTAAACTAGGCTTTGGGTTCTTTCTTTTAGTCTCAAAACTGACTGTTAGGATGCCCTGTCTTCTTTTTCAAGGGGAACTTAATCTTTTCTTTAAAAAATGATTCCGATAAAAGGGTATGAGAGGTGTAATACGCAAATATACCTTATAGACACTACATTGTTTCTATTTGATGATGTCTCTTTTCCCAATTAAATAGGTAGAGTTGAATTTTAACAGCTCTCTTTTCAATAAACATTTTTTATTTTGTTTTGCTGCAATGTTTGATAAATTTATTGATTAGTTGTTTACTATTTAAAGAAAACTCAAAAATTATGTTTCTTTCTATGCAATTTATTTTTATGCCTCTGATATTTTCCACAGATTACGATATACCTTTAATGAAAAACTATAAATTCATTCCAGGCTATCCCCAAAACACATTTATGCCATTGTCTGAAGCTTATTTTGATGTGGATCTGTATTGTGCTCTTCATTATCCCTTGATGTATAGTCAGAGATGTCATCTTATGGTGAATTTCCTTCAAGGCTTTTTGAATAATAGGGTCTGAGTTATTTAACTTCAACCTCTGTGACCCGGCAGGTCAGGAAGAACATTCCTCAGTACCTCTGTATGTGACAGAAAATTCGTATGTGTTAGAAAATCACTTTTTTTCTTATGACACTCAATGTAATAAAGAGGAACTTGAAAGTGCTAGGAAGGAATAGAAAAGTGTTCTTCAGCTACCTGACCTCCTGAGCACATACTTAGTTCATTCCACAACTATTAAATTCAGTAACGATATAATAAAATAAGACTAAATAGAATATATTATGATAGTTGCAACAACATAGTTGGGAAAACATCCCTGTCCTTCCTCGGACTAAATAAACATTTTAAATAGACATGCATCAAACTTAAGGACGGTGATCTATTTTTCTGAAATCACACGCATTTTCATTTTAGTCCTGTTTTATGGAAGTTGTGGTTTTATCTCCCTTTGTATTTTCTGCATGTGCTTGCTCTCATTTTCTTACTTTCTCTCTCTCTCTTTCTCACTCTTCTCGCTCACTTGCTCACTCGCTCTGTTTGGCTCTCTTTTTCTATCTTGACCTTCATTAATTACTAACTTCAAGTCCTATCTCTTGCTCATGGAATATAGCGTTTAAAGGCAGAACTGAATGACATACGCCCAAAGGTGGACTCTACACGTGACCAAGCAGCAAACTTGATGGCAAACCGCGGTGACCACTGCAGGAAATTAGTAGAGCCCCAAATCTCAGAGCTCAACCATCGATTTGCAGCCATTTCACACAGAATTAAGACTGGAAAGGTAGGAAGATCTACTCCAAGGTGGAAACTTGTGCTAAATGGTCTCTTGCGAAGGTTGCGCAGTACTCTGAAAGGGGCAAGTAGACCCCACAGCAAGGTTTTCAAAAGGAAAATGAATGCCAAAATGTATTTAAGGAAATTTTACCACTGATTATAATGGGAGATAAACGCCACTCCTCCCCGTCTCTGTCTCTCTCTGTCTCTCTCTGTCTCTTTTTCTCTCTCATCTTTTGCTGCCATAGATATTCTAGGACTGCATTCTATGCTGCAGTTTACATACGTACTTTCAGGGGTCACCTACAGAAAAAAATAACAAATAGCATGCTGAAGGCCAAAAAAATAAATAAAACCAAAAGCACACAAGTCATCCATCAACATAAAGCACTACCGATAAATTTTGCCAAAAGCAGTACTGATACAATATTGCTTGTATGTAATGTGGATCAAATATCCAAAATGAGGTCTTGTACATCTTCTGCACGGTCTAGGGTGTTTTTTTACCTCTTTACTGGTTGTGCAAGTGTGTTTGTTTAACTTGCTTTTGCTAGTTGTAGACACTGTGACAAAATTCATTAGGCTATAATGAAATGATCACGCCATGAAAACAAATCATTGCAAAGCTTACATATCCTAATTTTTGTAATTTTATATGCCTATTTATATTACTGTTTAAGAAGAACCAGGGAATATGGAACTTTTGCGTGATAGACTTTATATTTGTGTATGATTTGATGAAGAGAAAGTCTTATTTAATAAGTAGTTTGCAAAAATGTATAAATATAGTGTTATAGAATTTCAGCTCTTTGGGAAGATTTGAAATGCAAGTAATTACCTAGAAATTTATATACTGTAGTTTGATAAATTTCAATATATATGATATGCTTTCAAACATAAAAATGTATATAAAATCAATATATGTATTTAGGTATATAGATAATTGTTAGAAATAATCTGAAATGAAAAAAACATTGGAGTATTTATGAGAAAATATGATGCAGTATGTCAGGTAAGTATTGATTCCTGGAAAAATAGAACATTTTCAAAAAATATTTTGATAGATATAAGCAACCAGTAATAGCATGGTTTCACAATTGCTGCACTTTCTAAGGCATTACAGTGTCTCATCATGTTATATAATAGTACATATTTAAAGTAGTTTTCAAAATAAGTGAAATGTGACATGATAAATTCTAAATAGTTTAGCTTGTATGCATGAGACACAGTTACCCTTCAAAATTCACCTTCCCAAATTAAAAAGTTGTTAGTTTACCTTAATTCATTGCAAGTTATTTTTAATAGTTAACTACTTAGTTCTCTTGTACTCTCTCTCTCCATACATAGAGACCTTATATAGTTGACTTTTAAAAGGCTATATTCTCTACATATGGAGAGAGACAGCATGAGAGAACTTAGTAGTTAACTGTCACAAATATATATATTTGAGTCAGTCATTATTACCTGCAAAAAAATGTGACAGGCTCTTAAAATTGATTAAAGTTTTGAAAGAATGTATTGTTACTTACAAAGACAATTGTTTTTACTTCTAAAGATATCAATGGCTTATGTAATAACAAGACAATGAATGGAGATTTATTTCAATCCTTAAAAAATGCTACTACTTCATTACTAAGATATAGACACACACACATGCACATTTTAATAAATCACTAAGCTATAGAATATTTAAGAGAAAATAAGGTATTATCTTTGGATAAATTGTGTTACAAGATTGTGGTTCACAGATATTAAAAAATGGGTAGAATTTGCTCTCCACCACAGATGTGACAGACCCAGCCAATACAAGTTTGTGACCAAGACAAGTTTGTGAGTTTTCATTTCACATTCTGCATGAATTTGTAAGTATACTTCTGGAAATCATGCATAAAGTGATCCACTCTATGAACTTCTTTTATTTTCCCTAGAAACATAAGGCATAAGAAATTTCCAGTGAATATTCATTTATTATTATTATTATTATTATTATTATTTTGTGTGTGTGTGTGTGGTGGAGACTCTCTCTGTTGCCCAGGCTGGAGTGCTGTGGCATAACCTCAGCTCACTGCAACCTCTGCCTCCTGGAATCAAGTGATTCTCCTGCCTCAGCCTCCCAAGTAGCTGGGATTACGGGCGGGCGCCGTGACACCTGGCTAATTTTTGTATTTTGGCAGAGACGGGGTTTCACCACGTTGGCCAGGCTGGTCTGGAACTCCTGACCTCAAGTGATCCTCCTGCCTGGGCCTCTCAAAGTGCTGGGATTACAAGCGTGAACCACTGTGCCTGGCCCCAGATTTTCAATTATATGTTAATTAACAAAATAATCACATGTTTGCTTTTCAAAGTATTTGTTTTTCTCTAAATTAGTAAAGGCAACTGAGTGTAACAATGACCCCATTTTAGGGCTCTGAAGAGATAATTATGCTCTATTATCACGATGAAATGAAAAACACAGAAATAAAGCATATCTGACACTTTGCTTATATATTCATTGCATCAGCTAATGGGATTGAGCTTCCATTGTGTTAGAGATTGTGGTGAGAAGATACAAGGGTATAAAGATCCTTGCTTAAGAAATACATGTTTTCAAACAGAAATGAATACTTAGTATAATCATAAAATATGTTTAACACTAATTCATCTTCATGGGGATGTTCAAATAATGGTGAGATGATCTCGGCAGAGAGAACAATAGATTTAGAAGGTAATCTCACCAGAGAAAACAGTGGATTTAGAAGATTGAGATTTAGGCCTAACTTTTTCAGTAGTAGCCAGAATATGTGATTTTTCTGCATATCCATTTCATTGTTTGTAAGATGAGGAAGTTAAAATAGACTAACAATTTTTAAAAGAAAACCTATCCTGCCCAAAATATTATTATTTAAAATAAAGTATTAAATTTAAATATTTAATATTAAAATCATATTATTTAAAATTAAATTAATAAATTGGAAAATAATAGAGTTACTAGATGGGGGAAATATCTGCCATTTTATCTTTCTCCTTCCTATGATTGAATTCAGGAAGTATAAATTATGCTCATAGAACATGGTTTGAAATTTCTAAATTAGATTAGTTCATAAATCCCTGCTCGTTCTAAAATTTGGCTATTCAGTAATCTTTTGTTGATTACAATAAGAAATTGAAAACATTTAATGTCTTGTGTGTGTTTGCTCTGGAGTAGGGAAGTGCTGAAGTGCTGGAGGTTTTAGGGGGTAGCCTTTGATCTCAAAATCAGGTTTCTTTATAGTAGGGGTTATACAGGATAATATTAGGTTAGAATATGGCTTTTCTATGGTTGAGTCTATGTCTAAGTTTCATGGAAGAGTAACCTGGGGAAAAAAAATACTATGGTGATAAAAAAAGTAGATTTGGATTGAACACGGGTAGGTCATAGACTCTTTGTAATCAGTAATTTCAGTATAGCCTTTAGAACATAACTCTAAAGAGCCCTTGAATAGAGAAATAACTTATGCTGAAAATTCACTGGTGTCTAGATTTACTATTTGGTGAAGAATACAAAGTGGGGTACTCCCATGTCTCCTGCCAGGACTGTTCATGACAAGAAATTCCGAAGCCCAGAAAGCAGTGAGTAAAGGGATCCTCAGTTCAGATTGGCTGAGGACTTGACTGTCCAAGTGCAGCTCTCTGTAATGTTAATTTTGGCCTCAGCAAGGAGCAGTATGGTGAGAGCAAAAAGTCCTTAACTTCAAGACACAAGACCTGCTTTGAGCACTAGCTGAGCACATTACTACTTAGTGATTTTGGATATGCCTCTTTACCTCTCAGAGCCTCATTTCTAGCTACAAAATAAGGGAGATGATGCCTGTTTTATTTTAATCTAAAGATTGTAATGAGGATCAAATTATGTAATATATGTAAAAACATGCATTTAAAATGTATTAATCAGTGTATAGATATGAAATGGTTAAAAATAATTAATATCAATGGGTATTTCCATCGTTACGTATATTACACTTGAATGGCCGAATCTGGGGGGTTGAGACAAAAACTGATGGAAAAAAATGAAAGAATTGCTGATTTTCTGTGGTCTCTGCTGTAATCGACTGGAGTCAGAAAATCGTGTCTTTGCTATTTTCATGACAAAGACCAGCCTTAAAGATAATGAAGTGGATGAATTTAAGAACTACTAAGGAGTTATGTTTGTCCCACATACGCCCCTTAAAATACATAAAAATGCTGCCTTTTCCCATTTTATTAAGGTTACCTAAGAGTATCCAATGACTTTGAAAAAAGCGTGTTTTTTCGTAATCTATGTGAAATCAATGTGAGGAAATGGCAGTTTTAATGGAGAGGATCAGAATTGCAACAGTCAATCAGAGATAATATTAGAACCCTGAGTAAATTGACAGAATCAATGAGGAGAGACTCCTTGTCTCAACTGTCTCTGTTTTAGGGCATCGGAGTATAGTGGCATGGCTGAGGGCAAGTGGATACCATCGGGAAAATAAGGTGATAGGAGACAAAAGTATAGGAAGGGGCATGGGAAGACAAAAATAAACTGATTATTTATTCATATTAATTATGACAGTTCTACCCCTCTCCATCCCTCTAGAAGCCAAGTTGGAGAAGGGGAGTCAGCAATTTGGGAGAGATGCTAGTTGAGGTATATCTAAAAGCACTAATGAGTGAAGACTTGAGAAAAGGGATTAATCAGGATGAATTCTCACCAACCATATATTATTTTCCGATAACAGTGTTTGGTAGTGAGGGGGATCTATTGCTAGGTAAAATACGATGGATTCAAGGAGCTTACTGTTTGATGATAGGGCAAGATGTGTTCATGGATACTAGATTGAGAGTGAGTGCATGGTAAGTGAGTTTAGCAGTCACTCCAGCAACACAGAGGAGGTAACAATTCGGCATAAACATATGAGAAAGCTTAGGAGCATACAGTGTGTTCAATGAAGAGTGAGTTCCTTTAGTTTTCAGAGTAGAGGGCATGGAAGATAAAACTTAGTTGTGGATGATAAGGCTGAAGATTATGGCTAGACACAGTGTGAAGAGGTCATGGACAGCCAGACTAATCATTCATGCTTAATTCAGTATGCAATGAAGAGTTCTTGATGTGCTCTGTGTGTGTGTGTGTGTGTGTGTGTGTGTGTGTGTGTGTATCTGTGTATGCACTGTTGAGAAATTAGTCCAGTGATAGTTGTGAGGAGAATTCCACTGAATAATGACATGAAGTTCGGGAGCTATTGCAGTAGTCTAGATGAGATACACTGATGACCTCAAAAAAAGGGATAGCTATGGGAGTGGAAAGGAAATTTCAGTCTAGATCAGTAAATCTTTTGTATGCACTTGGGTGAATTGTTAAAACCAGTGTGCTGGGCCCCACACTCAGAGCTTCTGACTCACTAGGTCTGGAGTGGAGCACAAGAGTTTGCATTTCTAACATTTTTCTAGGTCAGATTGATGCTGAAGGTCTAGGGACCACGCTTAGAGAACTGCTGCTGCGGAGATATTTAGAGGTAGCCTAGAGTTAAGTCATTACATACAAGGACCCAAGAAGATGATGAATTCAAAAATGACTCCAAATTTAACTCTGATTGACTAGGAAAGTCTGCATATAAATTCCAATAATAGGCCTGGTGCGGTGGCTCACGCCTGTAATCCCAACACTTTGGGAGGCCGCTGCAGGCAGATCACCTGACGTCAGGAGTTGAAGATCAACCTGGCCAACATGGCAAATCCCCTTCTCTACTAAAAATACAAAAATTAGCTGGGCATGGTGGTGGGCGCCTGTAATCCCAGCTACTTGGGAGGCTGAGGAGGGAAATTGTTTGAACCCGGGAGGCGGAGGTTGCAGTGAGCCGAGATCGCACCACTGCACCCCAGCCTGGGCGACAGAGTGAGATTCCATCTCAAAAATAAAAATTAAAAAAAATTTCAATAATAAAATATGCATCAAGTTATATTTTTATTGTTGTAATACTTAGCTGCAAAATAATTTTGACTAAACAAACTTTAGGTGTGTCATATTAATAAAGGCAATTATTTTACTTTTTACAAAATATTATGTAATTTCTACATAAAATTTGCTTAGATTGTATTTTTCTAGAGATTTAGATATACTTCACTGTTCTAAGGAGCTGAAATGTTAAATTATTTATTCTGAAATTGATACTAACCAGAAAAAAGTGAAATTATTTTCTCTGACTTTGATCCTTTACTAAGACTTATTTGCTATAGGATATATCTGGCATATGTTCTTTAATTTCCATATAGGCCTTGAAAATTGCTGCTAAAATTCATGTAGCAGTTTCTATATATATGTATTACAACTGTAATATGAGATTTGGACAATCGGGCATCAAATACTTAAATATTCATTGTTTGATTGCTGCAATAATTGTAAATTACCAAGTTTTTTTTTTTTTTTTTTTTTTTTTTTACTTCCATTCAGTGTCAGAAGATATAAAAGTAATCATTCTTTGGATAAGAGACTTTCACAAGTTTATAGGAGGCTGTGAGAGAGTCAGTGACCTTCCCATGTAATGTAGAATATATAAGAAAAAGAAACACATGATTGGGCCTAATCTATCTTAAAATATGGTTCTATGTGTGGAAAATAATTAAGCAGTGATTTAATTATTTTGGCTCTCCTAAACTTCGGTGGGAAATAAATGATGCATTTTATAAATGTGATCTAGAAGGTCCAATGAAGATGTATTGGATTGAAAATTTTTAATTAAAGCTTAATTTTCTGTAGTCAGATTTATCAATGCAAATACATTGATATTTTGCAGTCTCTTTCTGATCGTATTATAACTTAACACCTATGATGGAAAATAATATTGTATCTTAATTGGAACAGTATTCTTGCTATATATATTCTTTAAATTTTAATTTTTTTAATTTTTGTAGGTACATTGTAGGTATATAGATATTCATTTTTAGTAAAATTTTCTATAAAAACATGAAAACTGAGATGAAGACTTGTAAATATTGCATAATTTGTAGAGCATTAAATATGTAATATTTACAACTAATATCTTCAGGTAATAGTAACAGATCACTAGTCAAACTGTATAATATCTGCAAATTTTATTTTACTAAAATGAATCAGAAAAATATGAACCTAACAACATAATTCTTATGTTAGCTTATTTTTTCCACATGTGTAATTGGTTATCCCTATAACAAGGTTAAGTCCATTGAAACTTCGCTAATAAATCCCTTTGGTAACCATGTAAAATATTTTTAAAGTAGATGTGTAATTGAGTTTGGTGAGCAGTGTCATTTGATAAAACTATCTGGGTCTTGTTAGCATAACATTTGAAATAATTAAAGCTATTTGGTGAATCTTGATTGTTCTCCTTTGATAAAGGAAAATTAGTCCCCTGATCAGTGTCAGTAGATGTAAAGCAATTTTGCTTTGGACCAGAGACTTTCAGATATTTATAGGAGGTTGTGAGAGTGTCAGTGAGTTGACCAAGTTCTCACAGTTAGACAGTGTGGTTAGCAAATACTAGATCTCAGTCCATTGCTTTGTCCACTTCAATACACTGACTCAGCATAGTTTACTGCCTCTATTTATGTCATAAAGTAGTTTTTGTTGGTCTACTATGTGTTAGTATAAACATACCCAATTTCACTTCAAATACAGTGATTTCGTTATACTTTTTGTATTAAAAATGACAAGAACAAAAGGTGGTAGGGAGGAAGAAATGGAAGAAGGAAGGGGGAATGGAAGAAATAAAACTGGAAAACAACCTAAGTAAATGAAAAGAAAGTTTAAAATACAAAATTGCTTAAAGTGTTATGTTTTTACTTTTGTCTGTCTCCCCCATACATTTTAGAGTTAAATGTTTTCCTCTTTTAATTCATTTCCTACTCCAAAAAGTCATGTAATCATGAAATAGGGCAATATTCTAAGTTAAACTTTATAAAAGGTCGACAGTAGGAAGCAGATTCTTGACCCACGAATATATTTTGCATCCAGTTTTAAAATGTGTAAGCATGAAATTAACCTCATCCATACAAAATCAATTGAAATCTACTGGGTAATATCCTCTAATTAGCCTCACAAATTAGTCACATTTTCACATTTTTATTATCAAAGCATTAAAGGTAAACCAGTACTTTATCTATTCTCAAAAGAATGCAACCAATGAAATGTCACTATTTGGAGTCAATTTATTTAATTTAAAAATAATATTTCTTACATTTTCTTGTTTGCTCTAATAATTTTAAAATAATAGAATAAATAAGTTTATAAACCATATTTTAAATAATCTTTCTTCTAGCATAGATGTAGTATCTTTCCAATACACTTATTTGTTTTTGTAAGTTCTTTTCCTCTACAGATAGAATGATGTGAAATAACTCTTCATATCATATCAGTAGTCTGTCTTTTCTGTACTATAGTGTGTTACTTGTCCTTGAAATTTTTCATCTTGGTTTCCATGAATTCTTTATTTTTCTATATCAATATTGTAATGATAAATAAATTTTCAAAGCTGCAGAATGGAAAAAGGAGACTGATGGATTTGAAGCAATTTTAAACCAATCTGTAGCACTTGGATTATTTATTTTCAATTTAGGTTTTAGTGTGATTTGAATATAGTGGTAATTTATCATGATTATTAAGATTCCATAGTCCAGATTAACAAATGTTTACTTGCTGTCTGTGTAAACACAGTCGTTATTATGCTAGTGTATCTGTGCATGCCAAAGTAATATTTAACCAAGGAAAGCTTACATTTTAAAACTAATAAAGTGTATCTGAGTAATTTTGAATGCTTTCAATTTACAATGAATCAGTTTGTAATTGATCTTGCTTTTCTTCAGTCTGTTATCCTTTGTTAACTTGTTATAAAATTCAGCTTTAATGCCAAAACTTCAACAAAGCCTTAAATTTCATTAATCCTTAAATAATCCAACAAAGCACAATTAATAGTTGTTAAGCAATTTGAAACATTAAAAAATCAAGGAAAACAAAGTGTTGTCTTTCTCGGTTTCTCTGTCTCTTCTTTATGTGTCCATTTATCCATTTATTATACTTCCCTGTCTTCTAATTTATATGTATTTTGTATGACTGCACAGTCATGCTAAAGCTCTTAAAATGAAAAGGTAAGTAAAAAATTAAAAGTGTCCAAAACCTATGCTTGGTATACACTTTCTCATGCAATATTATAACTTTTGTTTGATTATTTTCTATATAACTAAAACCTATTTTGTGTGCACTGTCTAACATTGTGTGATTTAATTGTGATTCCAGTTCTTTTGTGGTCATCTATTTCCTTTAAAGTCAATAGAAGTAACTTACCCAATAATTAAGATGATTTATCAGCCATTGCTTTCAACTGTTTTAGACAATTTATCATAATTCTGAATTGAAAAGCAGGCATGATATACTTTGTGTTTTAAAATTTGGTGACTCAAGAATGAGCTGTTAAATTATAAACGCTTTCTTATTACATGTTTCCTTTATAAAGTTGCATAAGAATTCCAAGTTACAAAGACAGGGAAGACCAAGGAATGACATGTAGAATTTTAATTGGGTGGGAAAGTGTTTTCTGTTTTAGAATGGGCATAGCCTAATGCTGAACTAGTGAACTCTTAAGAAAAGCAATGAATTTTTTTCATCTCTTTGTGTCCAAAGACTATTAATCATATGGCTGTCAAATGGCTGGTGCTATCTTGCCAATAACATAGCTAAAACAATTGGTTTGATAAACTTATTTTGGTTATAAAATTGGTCACTGGTTGATTAAATTAATATATAGGTAGTTCTAAAACTACCGATTGATATAATAAGCACCTTTTCCTGTATAAAATAAAAGGCAGTGTTTTCACTGGAAAATAGAGTAGTATAAGACATATTGCCAACTTTAAGGATGGAAAATTTATTTAGAGAGACAAGCATATATCTTTGAAAGCCAAATAATATTATATTCCTGTCTATAAGAAAGCAGTGCAACACAAGCTGAGATACACATAAATGAGAATAGAAACTCCTGAAATAACAGGTCAATCCCACTCCCGTAATTTTTCCTATACCCCGAGGACTGCCTGAAAATTTCACTCAGAACACATAATGCAAGATAATAAGACCGACGTAAGAATAATCTAAATTCACCACAAGTTATAAACAAAACATTACTATTTTATTCAAAGTAATTATGAGATATTAGTTCTTTACAATGTTATGAGTATAATGGTTAATAGAGCTCTATACTGCCTAATAAGGTGGTCATGAACCACATGTGGCCACTGAGCTTTAGAAATTTGGCTACTCCATGTTAAGATTTATAAATAAGTGTAAAATATGTGTGGGTTTTGAAGAGAATATAAAATGTAAAATATTCATATTTTTGTATTGATTATGAGTTTATACAATAATTTGGACATCTCAGTGAAATCAGTAAAATTAATTTTATCTGTTTTTTGTTTTTTACTATGGCAACTAGAATATTTAAAATTACATATATGGCATGTATTATATTTCTATTGAGCTGCACTACTATAAAAGTTCTACTTGAATTTAGAGACAAGAACTTACTGTAAGGTTATAAAATTTTAAGAAAATGTCTGTGTGAAAAGGATTTTGTTCCTAAAATGTGACTGAATACATCCTCATCTAGTCTCTGCTTATAAACATTTAGCATTACTTGAAAATCAGTGTTTTTAAAAAAATTGCAGTCCTCATCAGTTGTTCTTATATAAACCTAAAATTTAGGCTCCAAATAATTTTTGCCCACTGATTTTAGTTAATCACTTTGAAACTACACAAAATAAAACTACTCAAATTCTTAATCTTCCTAATTTTTTTAAACAAAATGCACGGTAGTCTTTCATTGGAAAATTTAGACCCTACACATTGAACTAAAGAAGTCTAAGTTTCCATTATCTTGCCTGAATAATTAGCACTTCAGTTTTTGGTAGTCTCTCCCAAAGCTCTTTTTACATCTTCCCCCTTTTTTGTGTTTACCTGGTGGTATCATGTTGCTTAGCATTTGGGCAGCAGTTAATATACATACTCATATAATGCTAACCAGTCAGGTCTTTTGACATTTCTACATAGAAATTGTGTTATTTAAAATTCCATGTCACTAAAAAAGCTCCTTGAAATGTCTATTTTGGCCCTCAATTTTTAGTCTTTTGTTCATTTATTTTTTCAGGAAATATTTACTTATGAATATTTACTATGTACCAGAAATGACTGTAGGTTGAACATGAGAAACTCAGCTCCATAGGATGTCTAGGGAACACACCCCACTGACTGTATCTGTGGTATGCCTTTTCTGTCTCCAAATAATTCCTGATTAAAAAAAAAAAACTGCACCCTGTAAACTAAATGCAAGGCTGTGATATCACTTTTTATATTGCCGCAGATAAATTAATCTGTAGTTTTGTTCTTCAGGATTATGTAACTCTACCAAACTGGAATCTAAAATCCTCCATGTTCACCATTACAATGTTATGATTTCATCAAATCCCTTGGTAAAATAAAGACTCATTATATCAATAAGCATGTATTTTATCCTTTAAAACCATAGATTTCAAAGGAGGAAGGGCTTGACCTGAGCCAATGGATGATTAGGATTTTGAGAGGATCAAAATAAGACCCAAGATTTATAGAGCATGTATTTATATTGGATGGACACATAGAAGTTTGAGAGAAAATAATAGTCAACATTTATTAAGCTTTTATTATATACCAGACACCATTCTAACATATTTGATCTTAGTAATAGCCCTGTGAGGTAGATATTCATCTTATCTCCATGTTATAAAGAAACTGAGGTTCAATGAGGATAAATAACTTGTCTAAGTTCCCTCAGCTAGTAAATGGTAGAGCCCAGATTCAATCTATGCATTTTCATACAGAAGTTTATGTTCTTCACTAGAAGATGAAAAGTATTCTAAGGTCATTGAAGGAGGCATAACAGAAGATCACCAAATGGCCTGCAAAAAAAGGTCTATATTAGGAACACTTACATAAGGCTGGCAAGTCTTTGGGGCAAGATTAGGAGAAGCCTTGACTACTGTGCTGGAGGTTGGACTTTATTCTATTTATACTCAATAGATGCAGGAGGTTCTTCAGCAAATAAATAGCATAATGAAAGAAAGGTTTTTGAAACATAGTAAGCTGATCATTGGGCACAGGCTGGAACTGGTTTGACTGAAAGGAGATTTTACATCTTTTCAAAGCTTATTGCCTTAGTTTTGTGTAAGGACCAGGAACGATGGAGTCTCTGGGAATACAAAGCAAGTGGATCATAGCAAGTCAATTGACACTTACTTGATATTTATTAGACATTAGAGTGAGATGTTCAAAAATAGCATGACTTACGTTTTACGCCTGAATGACTGAGAGAAATGGTCTTCCATTAAGAGAACTAGGGAAGTTAGTATTGTAAGCAGTTTGCGGGAAAGATAATGTGCTCCATACTAGGAATGTGAAACTTCAGGTGAAAATTCAGCTGGCTATTGGAGAGTCTAGATGGGAATTCAAAAGTCAGATAACAGCTTAGGGTGAAGACTTGGAAGGCATAAAAAATTGTTAAATTCGTAGAAAATTGTATCTTAAATTAATAGAAGTTAAATTCATGGAGAGATGAGCTAGAGAAGAAGCAGTTGGAATAAAACAGGTAAATCTGACTGTAAATAGACCTATGTTCTTCTGACATCCAAGTACACAATAAAAGTTATTTTCAACATTATCATTATGTATTCACAAAATCACATAGAACATAGTTGCTTTCATTAAATATTAGCAAATGTGAACAACCATTTAATAACATAAAATATCACCAAATTGATAATTGTATAGTTATGATTCTAAGGGTTGTTAATCTTTTTACTTTTACCGTCATCTAAACAGTGTATGATTTTATTGTACCGTAATTGCTAATAATACAGACATTGAAACTTTAAGCATGTTTGTACCACTACCAATCTATACTGGTTCAAATAACTTATGATATTTCAAATGGCAAATGATCATTAGGATTTAAAAACTGGTACTGTAATAGGTCACTTAAAATTATCTCATAAATCTTTCAGGGGTGTGTAGAAGTACCTAGAAGATATGTGGTTATTCATGTTGCATATGAGAATCATGTCATCATGAATAGAATTTGATTATTCACTTCTTCAATAGTGACAGATTATTACCTTTAGATATTTAGTTTTTCTTCTACACTTATCCGTATTGTTCACCAGAAGTTGCCATCTAATAAAAATTCAACCTCTTCCTGGGAATGTGACTGGAGAAGGGTAGGTGGGGACCAAACTTGATGAATGTAATCGTCTTGGCAAAAGACACGGGGGTCATTCCTGAATTGGTTTTACAAAAGTAAAATGTTTTAGCTCTGAAAGAAAATCAGATTTCTGTATGTCATCTATGGGTTTTCAAGAGCTATCCCATATAAAATATGTTCTAGTGTTTTAATGGAAAGAAATACAGCATAAAGATTGAGAGAGTATCAATGTATTTTATTAACAGAATTTTAATCTAATAACTAAACCTTGCCCACTTTTTTGAATATATATTTGATTTTCCATGTCTTTTCACTTATCACTCCTTTTCAAGGGTTTTGTTTAGAAAGTCAAGAGATTTTAAAGTTTTCTTAGACTGGTCATTATCAGTTCAAAAGTAAAGAAACTGATGTTTACAAGGTTGAAAAGCATAGATTCTTTATGTGAAATATATTAGGTTCATTCGTTTGAATTTATTTGCATCACCAACCAAACTGTTCCTAAGGCAAGCTAATGGCATTGTCTTAGAAGAGCATGCCTGTCAATTGTGCTGTGCTAAAAATGTCATTTAAAACATCTGAGCAGATTGCCATGTAGTTTTTCTAAGGATAAGATGACAATTCTGCATTTCTACCTGAGGTTACTGTTACTTGATAAATGAGGCAATTTCTGATGAGACATATTTACCCAAATGTATTTATATCAGAATATTTAAAATAAGGTCAAATTTGACTTTAGAATATTAAAAATTAGCCCATTCAAATGTATCTGTAAATTGACTGTTGTTGATATCACCAAATGATGAATTGTACTATCTTGCATGTATGTTCAGCTCTGGTGATGTGAAATGTTTCTCCTTATTTGCATCCTCAGGTACTTTTCCAGTTGTATTTCAAAACCCTTCATAAAACATAATATGGAAACATAATGCATGTGATTAGTTTAGCAACAGGAGGTTGAATAAATGTATTTCTTTTGGTTTATGTTTCTAATAAAAAGTAATTTTGATTTAAAGTAGCACTATCTTTTTTTTTAGGCCTCCATTCCTTTGAAGGAATTGGAGCAGTTTAACTCAGATATACAAAAATTGCTTGAACCACTGGAGGCTGAAATTCAGCAGGGGGTGAATCTGAAAGAGGAAGACTTCAATAAAGATATGGTAAATTGGTTGTGATAAAAGTGTGAATGAACTAGGAGTGGAAATAAATATTTGGAAAGAACTTAGATAAGTCTCCAACTGAATTTTCAGAGCACATATTACACATTTTATGATTCTAATGAATTTTATAAATGCAGAATATTCTTGGCCTTTTATTACAAATGCTGAATTACTATGGTATGGTAATATAGGAGCACTTACGGTTTCTAATAAATAGCCCAGCAATTTTCTTTTGACCTGACCTACTTTTGAACTTATCAAGGGCAAAATGTAATTGGAAAAAAGAGTCGAATCATAAAATAAACTAAAAATTTAATAAAATACTCAACTATCATAGATGACTGACATTTTGTATCAGCAATGTTTTTGGTAGTATAACATTTATTTCAATGAAGAGAGAATAATGCATAATATGAACATTATTTATTACAATTTCCCACAAAGTTGTTTTACCAAATAGTTGTTTAGTTAGTACATTATATGTCTAAAATGTGTATAAATTCATGCTGCTTATTTCATGGGAGTAAAGAAATATGACCATGTGTGCTCTTCCCAACCTCAGAATATTCTCCTTCAATCCCAACTAATTTCAAAGTATCTACTACATTTCTCTCTGGCTTGAATATTTGTACATCACATCCTTATTAACTGACTTTTTTTTTCTCTCTTCATCCTCCTTTTCACAATTTTTTCCCCTCTTTCACTGCCATCACCTCTGTGGCATTCTTAACCTTTACAATTACCAGTGCTAGAGCCTTCTCAGACAATGCTTGAAAGTGACATCAGAAGACAATATATAAATTTTAGGTAATAAGTGTGTGAAGCAATAGGAGAACTATTCCCACCAATCTTAGTTCCCACTTCCTGGAGCTGCCTCAATCAATACTCCCCATGTATGGGGTTTGGTGGCCTTGCCAACTCAGCTTGTGGAAAGACGGAAGAGGCTTTCCAAGTTGCTGAGTTACAGCAATCTCTACTTCAGGTCAAAGAAGAAACTAGAGGGCACCAAGATGAAAAAAAGTACTGATTACCTCTTGGGCTGACCCCAACTCTGCCCTAGAGCCCTCAACTGGTATAGGGAAAGAAGTGAAGTGGGTTTTTTAATTTTTTGTTGTTTTTGTCCTCAGCCCTAGAAAATGCTACAGACTTTTACAACACCTTTTAAAATAAGTAAAGTCTTTTACAGACTATAAGTATATGATGTGTCTATATTATGATAAGTATATAATGTGTCTATATTATGCCGTATGTTTCTTTAGATTATTGACCAGTCTCTGACAAAAATAATCCCTTTCCCCCATACAAAATGAATCAGTCCTCAGTTGCGTGTTGAAGTTTATGCATTATAGATTTAAATATATAACATCTAATTCCTTGAATTGTAATACACACATACAAATACTTGTGACTTTTGAAATTTATTATTTGTTTTCCTTATGTCATCAGTGTACCTTGAGTACCATTACAATGTGAGACTACTTGATACAAAGTTTTCACATTCTGAGTTGAAAGAAAGAAAACTAAAGGTGAAAAATCACATGGTCATATATGCGACTATATTAGACCAGCATTTATTCAAAACATTTTATTTCTAAGTAAAGAAAATTAAGATATTGTTCTTGCAGCCTAAAGGAACAAAATACCCATTGAAAATGTTTAAAGCCATTTTCCAGTCCATATTTTAGTATTATTTGATCGTATTTAAATTAACATGCATATATGACATATTTTAGAAATTATTTGATGGTAACTTAGCACATGATTTTTATTAATATCCTGATATTTCTCCTATTAATATTGAGCATTTAGGTTTCAGAAATGAAGCAGGAGTTATTAGATAGGAATTAGTGTACATTTAAATCAAAATATTTTCATGTAGTTGTGTGTTAATATTTTCAGATTTGCTGTTATCTCAGTCACAAATACACATCTGTATTCCTTTATGGATCAGTTAACATTATAAATGATAACTTTAGCTCATTTCTCTAATGTTTTAATTTCTAGAACTACACTAAAAAAGCCAAAAGAATACTTTCACAGTAATTCATGACTTGTCTGACATGATGAAGTACCACACTCCCCCATCTTTCTACAGGTGCCCCTAAAAATGTGTTCTTTACAACTAGATGGGAGGAAACTTATTTTGAAACCTCAAGTACCAAATGTAAAAGAAAGGCTATGAGCACAGTATCTTATAATAGCATTCCATGAAAGTTTTAAATTGGATTTTTGTGTGTGTTTAAATAACATGTCTTATTATCTCTGTTAACAATGTACAGCTTTTTAAAAACCAAAATGAAGACTGTACTTGTTGTTTTTGATCAGAATGAAGACAATGAGGGTACTGTAAAAGAATTGTTGCAAAGAGGAGACAACTTACAACAAAGAATCACAGATGAGAGAAAGCGAGAGGAAATAAAGATAAAACAGCAGCTGTTACAGACAAAACATAATGCTCTCAAGGTATTAGAGCTAAAATTATAATATACCTTGCCTGTGGTTTTTTTTTAATATATAGGGTAAAATATAATGTGCATTAATAAAATCTGCTTCAGACTTAGTCATCAGAAACTCACTTTTTCTGTTCAATGTGTATGCTTTATTTAACATTTTTGAGTGGTATTTGATTTTGAACGATGTGTTGCTTAAAAGTTATGGCTTTTTAAAGACATATTTTTCTAAGTAGTAATTGAAAGATGGGAATGCATTCATAGTACTTATACATTTAATTTTCTAATGTGCTTTATTTTTATCAGCTACTTTATATTGAAAAAAACCTGCCTAACTGCCAGAATAACCGATCTACATGTATCCATTATTCCTGCTTTCTTTACTTAATTGATTTTGCTTGCATTAGGTCCAATTTTTTGGTAACCTGATACTTGTTTAATAAGCCCTAGATTCTTTTATTTATTTTTAAAACTTTATTATGCCTTTAAGAAAGTCACTCTTTGCAACTATCTACAAAGTCAAATTTCATTTATGTAGGAATCCTAAAAAATAATCTTAGTGCCCTTGAATAAGAACTGCTACTTTCATATTAAGCAGTGTAGTGTATGGCTTCAAGTCCCCAGGTGACTCATCTGGTTTGTGCAGGAAGAGCAGGATAAACTTAATTTTTCTATAATAATATCTAGGAAGTTCTTGAGACTAGACATGTGGAAAGTTTTGTGAAACTTTTTTTTTGTATATGCTTTGCAATAATCACTATTTGCATGCATGGCTGATTTTCTAATACTTTTAATTGCTGAGCTTTTCCTTGTAAATCACTCTTTTGAGCTATGTAGTTATGAAGGTGGATCCACCTAGCAGGTAGATGGAGTCTGCTTTCTACATGCAAATAAGAGAATAAAACCTTTCCCCCTATAGTCAACCAAATAAACACTGCTGAGAATGTAATTACACAATATTGTGCCTGCAAGGAATCCACAAGGAAAGTCTAATTGGCCAGCAGGTGTTCTGAAGGTAACTGCTGATAAATATAGTAAACAGAAAAGGCCTCTTCCTCGAGGGAGTGCAAAAGCACACCATAATGTGTCTAGAAAATCGGAACGCTATGTAACTCACACCCTTCCAACTGTGAGCAAGCTTTCAGAAGTATCTACACTGGTCGTATGATGGTGTGTGTCCTACTGAATAGCAGTGTTTAATGGTCATCTGGCATTCCTCTAAAGAAATCTACATGACATCTCTAAATATTTTACATATTATACATCACTTTGTGCTTAGGAAATGAAAGATGTTTCAGATTGATGACCACCAAGCCCTTTCTCCTGGCAAAGATGTGAGTTATGTCACAAATAAGGCATGGCTCAACTCTAATTCACGTGGCTGTATCTTGCTACCTTTGAAAAAAGCAGCGTTCGATCTGACTCCTCAGAAGGTTTGAAAATTCAACATAAAACATAAAGTACAGCAAGGTTTAAATTCCCAATTTTAAACAAACTAGATAATGAAATGTAGTTCATTCTTGCAAATACAGGCTATAAGTGATTAATCAAAATCGTCAACACTACTCGCCAAACCAATCTATACCAACATATTCAATAACTTTTTAAACCTGTCAAATAGTTCCAATTCTGGTCCTTATGAAATATTTTAGAGAAGGTCAAAATTTTCCAATGGAATGAAATTTTTAGAAATTCCCTGATATTTATTATTTTTTCGCTCGAATTAAACCTGTGAATAAAACCCTAATTGCTACTTTCTGTAGAAATGAAAGCTGCATGCAGAGCTTATGTTCCCATGAATTATAAAATGGCATTTTGAGTAATTCTATTAATCACAGAAGATATTGAGTGTGCTTGTAAAGAGCATGATGACTGATTTCCTCCCATTGTTGATTTATTAAATTAGTCTTATCACATTGATTTGAAAGCATGCACTTGCTGTTTTCTTTTTTCAAATAGTTAATTGTTTTGCATTTAGAGCATGATTTGGTATAGTAAGATAAATGTGGCTATGCAAGCCTTGGAAGGAGAAGCATTTATCTCACATAATTTTTTATTAGTTATGTTCACCAATATACGAACAGTGGTGACACTTCTACACATACAGCTTGGAACAGTTTATAAGACAACTAAAATGGCTTTATATTTCTAATCATAAAATATTAATGGCCTATGAAACTCTTATGTAGGCATTTCTAAAAACATGAATGTATATTGGTTGAGTACATAAAGTTTTGTTGATGAGCCCCAAGGCTAAAGATATACATTTTAGAATTTTACCTATTTTAAGTCAGATACAAACTCACTAGGTTTGTGAGTTTGTATCTAGTTAAGTCAATTGTATTCGTATATTAAACTCTTGCACATAAACTACACAACAGTTAGCTCATTAAGAGTCAATTGAATGTGACAAAATTTTTAAGCAAGTTTGAACATGCTAAGAGAAAATACTTTAAGTGTGTTATTCAGGTTTCTTAGCTTCCTATACATGGGTCCCGCCTCATGCATAGGCAATTTAATTATGTCTTTGTATATTTTGCATTTAAATATGATTTTAACCTAAGTTGTACAAAAAGATGAGGGACGCAAATTATTTTGATAAATAACTGCAGCCAGAAGTGCACTATACATATATATTGATATTTTAATAATGTCTGCACCATGAACAGGATTTGAGGTCTCAAAGAAGAAAAAAGGCTCTAGAAATTTCTCATCAGTGGTATCAGTACAAGAGGCAGGCTGATGATCTCCTGAAATGCTTGGATGACATTGAAAAAAAATTAGCCAGCCTACCTGAGCCCAGAGATGAAAGGAAAATAAAGGTAATGTTGTTTTAGAATGTCAATACCAGATTTTATTATACAGTTTAATTAACCTGTGAAGATCATATTTAAAATGTTGATGTTCTTGTTTCTATTAACGTTCTCTTTGATTTGATGCATTTCCTTGTATTGTGTGTTGTTTTCAGTAAATGTATTGTATTAAGTGTTATTCAATTGACGTAATGTTGAATGAATAAAATGTTTTAGACTATGTAAAGTGATTTAAGAAATGTGATGTGTTTTCTGGTAAAATTGTAATTGACTTTGTGTATCTTTGTTCCAGATGAACTAATGACTTATCGGTATATGGACGACTTCTTACTCATGTTAGCCCATTCATTTCATCAGAGCATCTTCACACATCAGTGTTCACTCTCTATAGATTTATTTGCATATTGTCTAAATATGTTTTTTTCTGTTATTATTTTACACTTTTTATTTTGCTTCATTCTCTGTTGAGTTCCTCAAACCTTTAAAAAGGAAATAAATAACTTATTCACTTACCCTCTAAATTATATTCTATGTGGACGGTCCCTAATAAATAATGAGTTATCACTCCAAATTGTTTCAAATCCCAAGACACCAGAGGAATTTAGAAGAAAGAAAATGTTAGACCAATTTCAATATTTACTTAATTAGAATATCTAAAACCAAGCATTCAAAGGATAACTGAAATAATATTTGGGTTATTGAGCGAGGATGACAGTCATGCCTTTCATATTTGTAAACTTCAAAGGATGACAATAAAGGGACAACAGCCTTTGAAATTTTGAGAGAAGTATTTGCTGCTTGCAAGTCGGTTGATGTGGTTAGCTAACTGCCCTGGGCCCTGTATTGGTTTTGCTCAATAGGAAATTGATCGGGAATTGCAGAAGAAGAAAGAGGAGCTGAATGCAGTGCGTAGGCAAGCTGAGGGCTTGTCTGAGGATGGGGCCGCAATGGCAGTGGAGCCAACTCAGATCCAGCTCAGCAAGCGCTGGCGGGAAATTGAGAGCAAATTTGCTCAGTTTCGAAGACTCAACTTTGCACAAATTGTGAGTTGTTACTGGCAAACCCACGTATGTGTTTGCAACTACTACTCTATTAACAGAGGCCTACTAATAAAAAAAAAAGAGACAAAAAATCTGGGTACAGTTTTAAACTTCTAATGTACATTCTGAAAGTGAGTGGTTTCCCTCACTTTGGGCTTCTGTAACACTAGTGCTTAATTTTGCCAATTAAAGACACAAGAAATTAACAGATAACAGGGAAAACCCCTTATCAAAAATGAAAATACATCTTAATTTTTTTTGCTACATCATTTTTCATAACATTGGCAATGTTAATTTGTCAATTTATCATACATTCACTTTACTTCAATGTCTAATCCAAAAAATATGTATTGCTTTCCTGAGATCATCCCATGCTGATTTTACTTTCTTAATGTATACATGATAAATAATAAATATTTCATGGTACATCTTATGTCAACCTGCATAAGCCATTATCTCATTGACTTGAAGAATAATAGCTTAATCCTCACACCTGGTTTAACTACTTAATGGGTTACAGTGCCCATAAAAGAACTGGATGCCTAGTAAGATGGTTGCTAATTGATTGCAGATTGAACAATATCAGATAATGTTATTACTGAAATGTTACCAGCCAAAACAAAAAGGAGTGACTGCTCTTCTTTCAAACAACTGAATGGAAAGTGTATGGTTCTCTCTTTAAAAAGGCGATTCAGAATTGTTAGCTTGGTCTCACTTCTTTATTTGTAGTAGGTATAAACCATAGAGGTTTTCTGACAGGTACATTTTTGTTCCTATTATTAACACTTGTAAGATGAAGAGGAATGATCATCATCTGTAATTATAGAAGAAAGTACTCCTCACAAAACCAGGATGTCAAAATCTGGAAACTAAGTCTTTATAGTTAAGTTAGGTTGAATTATATGAATCAAACAGATACTCAACCATTTTGCCCTATGTAAATAATAACTGCATAGGGTTCAGCCCATGTATGAGACTTCTTGGGAACTTCTTCTGTGATAGTGTCAGTTCCATTTAATTTGGTGTATATTTTTAAAATGTCAAAAGCAGTTACCATAACTTAATTTTATAAGCATATAAGGGAAGTATGTTGCATATTATTGTGACTTCTTTTAATACTTCAAGAAAATTAATAAATACACTGTTTTCTGTTAAATCTAATACCCTAAAGTTTAATAGCAGGTGAATTATTCTGAGCAATTGGAAGAATACGAGAAATAGCGAAACTGTATTGCATGTGAAGTCTAATTCCACCTGGCTGAATGTTTCAGCCTATTATCCTTCATATTAGATGTTATGAATGTAATGTGTCATAAATAACCTTACACTAACCAGCAAGCCTGTGTCTGCAGATGCAAAATGAAGCGAAAGATTAAGGCAATCAAAAAGAAAATTCTAATAAAATAGTTTCACCTCAATTTAATAGATCATTCAAGGGGGAGTCCTTTGCTTTGAATTATCTGACTACTAACTCATTTCTCCATTCCAATTTTCCCCAGGTCTTGACACACCCAATATGCAGGTTTAAAATTCGTTACAAACTAATCAAGTTGCTAATGCTTTATGGCTAAATAGGCACAGGATCAAAAATCTCCATAAACCACTTACTTAAAATGCCATTATGTCCCTATTCATAGTAGGCTCTCAACAAATATTTGTACAACGTAATAATGACTGGTGAAATAAAGGAAGCATGTGTGAACCAGTATATATTTTTAAAAAATTGTAGTAAAATTCTGGGATATATTTTCCTCATAAACGATTTATTCTTAAGTTTTATATATTAAAGATCCAAAATTCAGAATGTGAAGGGGGCTATTTTTGTGTTAACTCTTAATTATCCATGATAATAAAGTAATCACAATCTGTATGAAGAATAATCAATTTAATATTGCAGTTATATTTGGCATCGTATTTTAATTAGAACTGAGGGATAATTGATAGATGATAAGTAGGTATATAGGTTGGTAGGTAGATAGATAGACAGGTGGGTGTAGAAATATTCAAGATACATCTTTATACTTGACCAATTGTCAATGCATTTTAAAACTAATTTCACTGTGGCCACTGATTAGAGTTATCTTTCCCAATTCTTACGCCCTAGAGTCATTTGTGATAGTCACAGTAACAGCTTAATGAAAAGTAGTATTTGATATAACCTTACAATGGCTCTGATGCAGCATATGCCATAGCTTCAGAATTTCTTACCTCCCCCTATATTCTCCTTCTCTAATTGTTTGATTTTTACTTTTCCTAACTGTCCCTTTTTGTTTTTCTAGATATAAACTGTAGGCTTAAAGTTCATCTTTCATGTCTTTACAGCAACATGTTGAAATAGTAAGCGGTACTCTTAAAATGCTTAGTATGTGAGAGCTGAGTGAGTTTAAAATGAAAAATTAATTTTCCTTATCTCACAGATAAAGACTCAGAGAAGTGCTAACCACTGTAAAATTAAGGCATTTAGGGGACTCTGTCCATGTCAGAGCTATATATGGTAGTAATAAAGCTCAGAAAAGGACTGAGACTTTGAGGGAACAATCATGAGGCAGCGCCCAGCCACACAGGAATGCAGACCAAAGCATAGTAGAGGGTATCTGCAAATTGTGGTCCTCAGGGCAAACCTGGAGATGATAAAGAAAGAGGCATGAGACTGGGAGGACGCAGGTAAAAATTTTACCAGATATTCAAAATGAGAGAACTCCTGCCTTAATTAGGAATTCCAATCATTTCTAATATATTTCCTGTTGGTTTAGAAACTAGGTTCCTCAGTTAAGACCAAGCACGGACTGTAAACTGAGGAAAAGGGATAGTTCTATAGGATGTACTATCACAGCAGTGTGGTCTAGTAAAATTAACTCTTGGATAAACAGCCTTGAATATGAATCCCAGTGACTTTGAGTGCTGTATGATCAGGGATAAACTGAGTCTCATTTACTTCATCTGTACAATAGAGATAAGGATGTTTCTGAGGATTAAATAAGGTAATATTTGTCAAACACCTGCTGCGTTATGCAGGCTCAATGCATGAAAGTTTTCTTCGTCTCCTTTCTGTATATATATTAACATTGGAAAATAGACATAATCTTTAATTTTTAAAATATTTTCATAAGTCATTAAGAGAATTAAGTACGCAGCATTTGTTTAAAATGTTAACAACAGATATCTCGTTCAGTGAAAATTTCAAATTTAATTCTATAATATATAAGCAGATACTTTTCTCTAGATTCACAGAATAAACACAGGAAATATCACACAAATCTGATGACTGCCAAGAAAGGGCATGATTTTCCCTAAACTGCCCCTCACATCATTGTAGCATTTGGAAAATAACCTCAGAGAGCCCAGGCATTTGCAAACACAAAATTATACAATGAAGATACCACTACAACCCCCAAGGGTCATGTGAAACTGCTAAGGAACATAAGCTTACAAACTAAAATTATGATTATTGTGGAAAAAAATTATAAGCAATGTTATCAGATGCCAAACGTTAAAAGGAGAATGTATACCTGAAGAAAATAGAGATAAGAGGATAATCACCAAAGGATATTAAGTAATTTTTAATGTTCAAAAATAAAAATTAAATGGATTTTTTTCCAGTAAGAATAGGCCATTATATAAAGTGAAAACGAAGATTTGAAAAAACAAAGTCTGGAAATGAAAATATAATTAATCCCTCAAACATCTGCGTGAAATAAGTTTCAAGTTGAAAAAAATAGGGATTATGGGGAAGAGACAATATTTCATATTAATGAAATTTAATAAAATGGAATAAATGTAAATTTTAATGAATCCTCAAATTCAATAAAGGTCAACCAACGTGGAAAAAATAAAAACAAGTCTACCAGCTAGCTCTGAATGAAACTCAGAGCATCAGTAATCAAAAAGGTATCATTAAGGGTTACTTAAGACAAAAGAACATTTACAGGATGACAATATTGACTGAAGACTTTTCATCAACAATAGATATTAGAAGACAGTTGAATAATATCTTCAAAATGCTAGGCACATTTTCAAATACCAGGTAAAACATGATTCAAGAATTAAGGCAAAATATTCTCAGACATACAGCTAGTTTCACCTGAACAAAAACTAAGAATTTCTTGTCTATAGATTTTTGCTAAAATAATTACTAAGCAATATATTTGTGTAAAATAAAATGAAACTAGAAGGAAGGAGACAGCGATGTAAAGCTGTATAAAATTGTTTTCTCTGTAAATAAGAACATTTATTAAAAAAGCTTATAATCCTAAAATTTGGTCAGTGCCACCAAGGAAAACACAGAATACTAGGAGAATGCAGTGTTTGACTGATCCTGTGTAAAGAGAGAGAAATCAAATAGAAGACTTATTGCATATCCTATGAATTACATATCCTTAATTCATATCCTGCATATTACATATGCTATGTAAAGGGAGATAAAAACAAGACTTATTCGAGATAATGGCAACAAATATAAGGCTTGTGCATAATGTGTTCTATGTAAATTATTACCAATTATAATGTTTCTAGATAGCAAAAAAGTGCTAAACCTCTGAAATATGTATACATACATGACCTTTCCAAGAACAGCAGCAAAAAAATACAAAAAAAAGCCCACTTCAGTGAAGAAAAAGAAATGTCCATTTTCTAAATACATTTCCACTTGAGCTGAGCATGTTATGACATCAAATACCAAGTATATGATCTTGATGTTTAACATTTTATATCCAACAGTCTCTTATCTTGGATGCCTAATGAGCATCTCAAACATACAATAGCCAAGTGAAAAATAAATGATCCACCCCCCATCTACGTTAATTGGCATCTACCAACATCTCCAGATGTTATTAAATTGCACTATTATTTACTTAAGTCAGAAACCTAGACATCCTTCATGATTCTTTTCTCTTACATTACCATGTAAATTATTTCCACTCTTGTTGGATATACCTGCAAAATGCATCAAATCACTCCTCCGTATCTGTTATGGAAGTGCTAATCTACAAGATTATTATCTCTCATCTGGATTACTTCAACAACCTCTAACCTCTTCTTCCAGTCTTTCCCCACTTACACCATATTTCTCCTGGTGAAGGCAGAGAGCTCCTTCTAAGGAGTTAATGAGATCATATCAGGCCCCTCCTGCCCATTACTCTTTAAATGAAATCCTGTGATCCGCTATATGATGTAGCCCCTTCCTATCACTTCTGTTACTCACACTTTGTCTCCCTTTTTGCTCTTCTGCTAACATAGAGGCCTAAAGGTTTCTTTTCTATACTTAAACACAACCAATTTCATTTCCATATCAGTATCTTTGAACATATTTTTCTAATGGAATATTTTTCACCTAGAATTTTGCATAGGTGCTATAACTTATTTAGATATCCTTTCATTTAGGAACAATGAATATTTAGTAGAACTTTGATGTATAATCTGGTTATGTAATGTAGTAGTTTCTGTTATAAATGTTTTATATTCCCTATACTTATGTATGCAAATTCGGAGTTTAAGACTGCTCGTTCAGAACATCAGTTTCTCTTACGGTTACTTCTAGAAGTAGGCATACTAAGGAAAGACACAGCTTCTGGAACATAAAAGTGAGGTGGTAAAAGATGAATATGAAGAGGGTTACAATATTGTATTGCAATGGATAGCTTGTCCTACAGCAGAGTAATTGTAATGGGATATTTTGACAAAATTAAAGTACACATTTCCAAAATATACATGCTCTTGGAAGGCTGATAGAAAATTAACCTTGTTTGTAGATTAAATGCTGCAATAAATGTGTTATTTAAAATAGTCCTTGGCTGGGCGTGGTGGCTCACAACTGTAATCCCAGCTCTTTGTGAGGCCGAGGTGGGCGGATCACTTGAGGAGGAGTTCCAGATCAGCCTGGCTAACATATATAACATGTCATGTATATATATGACATGCTATACATATATACACATGTTATACACACACAGATAACATGTTATACACGTATGCACATGTTACATATAACATATATAACATGTACGTATACACACGTTATATATAACATGTTATACACACGTTATATATAACGTTATATATACACGTTATATATAACGTTATATATACACGTTATATATAACGTTATATATACACGTTATATATAACATGTTATACACATATACACGTTATATATAACATACACGTATACACGTTATATATAACATACATATATACACGTTATATGTATAACATGTTATATATAACATGTTATACACATATAACGTTGAATATAACATGTTATATATGCACGTTATATATAACATGTTATACATATATACACGTGTTATATATAACATGTTATACATATATAACGTTTTATATATACATGTTATGCCTATATACACATGTTCTACGTATATACATGTTATATATACATGTTATGTATATAACATGTTATATGTTATATATACATATTATGTATATGTTATGTATATAACATGTTATGTATATGTTATGTATATAACATGTTTGTTTTATAATGTTTTATATATAACATACACATGTTATGTATATAACATGTTATATAACATATACACGTTATATATAACATGTTTTATATATAACATACACATGTTATATATATAACATGTATATATAAATGTTATAAATACATGTTATATATACATGTATATACATATATACATCCATATATAACATATATATACAAGTTATATATATATGTTATATATATGTATTATATATGTTTTATATATAAAATTAGCCAGGCTTGCTGGCAGTTGCTTGTAATCCAAGCTTCTCAGAGGCTGAGGCATGAGAATTGCTTGAAACTGGGAGACAGAGGTTACAGTCAGCAGGGATCACACCACTGCACTACAGCCTGGGCAACAGATTGAGACCCCGCCTCAAGAAAAAAAAGTAGTCCTTAATTGAATAAATTTGTAAAATAAACACCTATATATTGTGAATATTTTTCCACTAACTTTTTTAAGTTGTTTGAATCTGAATAGTATTATACATTCACAAAGAGTTTTCACATGCATCTAGTTTGATCACAGTAATGACCCTCTCAAGTATCATTTTCTTTGTCATTTTACTGTAAGAAAAATTAGCATAAATGAGGTTAAGAGATTTGTCCAAGGATACATCTGAGAAATGGAAGACGCCAAACTTGAACTCACTGCTTTCCAAAACATGGTGGGAGTTATTAATAAAAAAGGAAAAAAGTTTCAGTGTTTAAACAATTTTGGTAAACAGTAGATTAAGCAAACTTTCCTTACTCTATAACTTTCTAGTGCGTTTGATATGCTAATGGGATTATGACTTTCTATGAAGGGGTTAGATTCTATAGACTTTCACATCTAGACAGTTGCAGTAGAAAAGGGAAATTTGATTTCAGATTGATGAAAGGTTTCTTATTTGAGTGATGGTGAAATAAGAATATTCTTTAGAAAAAAATGGGAAGAACATCACCGTATCATTATTCTTCTGTTGTTTGGGATTTCCTTAAATTTAAGCAGAGATGTACAAGAAAAGTAATAACAGAACTGTTTGCCACCACCTTATGTAAAATAATGTCTGAGCCTAGATTTAATGGTCTGCTACACATTTTTTATATTGTCTCCTATCTTGTAATAAAAGCAACTCATTTTGAGAATAAAATTAGGGGAAATATATTGTCTTTGCATAATTGCCACATAGATTTTCTTCTTTGCCTTGAAATAACAACAAAGATTGTCAGCTGCCAGTGCAACATCCTTGGAGAATTTGGGAAGATAAATGATTTTCTTATTTAGAGACAGAATGTTCTTTAGCAAATGGAATTGTAAATACAAAAGACTAATAATGGTTGTTAAGGGAAATGTTGCACCAGGATGTAGCTGTTTGTAGAATTTTTCTCCTCTCAGCTCAATTTTGTAATTAACATATTACAAGGATTAAAAAAGAAATTAGCTAACATTTTATGTTTTTCTAGATTGTTGATGATCATAGTGGTTATAAATATTTGTACGGAGTTTTTTTGTTCTAGTGTCTAGTTGTGTAGCATAATCAGTTTAATGGTTAAGTAGAGGCATGTTCAGCGAGTATCAGCTTCCAGAAAGATGACAGACTGACTTAATTCCTCACCCCCTCACTTCAAATGCGTGGAAATTCTGAATAAAATATAATTTTTAAAAGTTTTAAATACACAGCTGGGCTATGGTGGAACCTCTCTTCCCTCTGTGTGCCATGAATGATCAAATCATCTTACGTGAAACTGAACCTGGATTGAGAGCCTAATGGCTAGGAAGAAGTTTTCAAGACCTTTTAGGACAAAATATGTGACCTTCAACAACACATAATATAGAGGTGAAAATAAAACCCCTCCTTAAAGTCTGAATTTTCAAGGGCTTCCCTCAGCTGTAAAGGGGAATAAATAAATCCTACCCACAATGGAGAAGAGGCATTATCTGTAGTGATAATAGCTTAGGATTTTCAAAACTTAATAGAAATTCCAATACTCCGATTGGGAAACTGAGCAAATCTGAAGCAGAAAAGATTATTAAAAAAAAGAAATATAAGTATAGATCATCACTATGAGACGATGAATCTGATGAATCCAAAAAAAGCAAAGAAATAATTTTAAATACTGCTGTATTTCCTTAGAAAGTAGTGACACTTAAAATGGTACCTGGTTTTAGAGCAATGATAGAAGCCAGAAGACGGTAGAATAATATTTTCAAAAACAATGAAAGAACATCCACGTAGGAACCTAGAATTGTGTACTGATAGAAACTCTCTTTCAGGAATAACATTGAAATAAAGATCTTTTCAGACACACAGAAACCGTTTACTAGCATAAAATTCCCTTTAGAGGACGTCAAGATTGGTCTTTAAGCAGGAGAAAGATACAAGATGGAAGATTTAAGCTGCAAAAGAAAATGATGTGCAAAGAAAATGGTAAAAAAATGGAAAAGTCTTAAATAAACATTTACCGTGTATGAAAGTGTCTATTAAAAAACAGAAAAATGCTGGACATCAATGAAACATGAGAAGGTGGTTAAGTTTTTCATCCAGTTTACCTGCTACCTTTCTATGTATTGTTTCTCAGTTTCCATAGGTAGTACCTACTTCTCTAATGCTGAAATGCCTCAGTGCTCAGTCCTTGGGCACTTGCCATTTTTATTTATTCTATATATGTCTTGCTGTTTTCATCCAGCCTCGTGACTTGATTAAAACAAAATTATTCTTTTCCCCTCAAATGCAGTGGAAGCACCGTTCTTTCAAATTTTCAGAGAAAAAAAAAAATCTACGCATGCTTTCTTTAGCCTATCTCTACACAATACACAGGGACAACATTTGAAAAATATAAACCATATTTAAATCTGATCATAATCCTTCAATGAATTCCCATCTATTTTTAAGTGAAATCCAAAACTCTTCATGAATTTCAAGGGATATCTGACCTGGCTGGCCCACTTCTTAACTCAGGCCTTATCTCTTAATACTTTCCTCTGCTCCACCTATGTTGACCCCTTTGCTGCTGCTTTCACAGATCTGACATGCACCCATTGCATTGTGTGCTACCTCTGCCTAAAATAATCCTCCCCCGTTTCTCCATGTGGCTCTTTTCGTTTCTGCCTTAACTTCTTTACTCAAAAGTGTTTTTTTCAATGAATCTTTCTCATGTGTGCACATACACCACACACACACACACACACACACACACACACTTTTTATCCATGCTTTCCTCATTTATTTTTCTCAATAAAGTGCATGACCAGGAAAGTTCTCAATATTTTCCTTCTTTATCTTCTTGAGTATTTATTTCCCTACCTAGAAGTAGAGCTCCAACCCAACAATGCAAAAAAAAATTGTCTTTTTTTCCCACTGCTGTGTCCTCAACACCCAAAACAGTGACTAGGTACACAGTATATATTTGTTTAATTCATAAAATAAGTAATTAATCAATAATGAATAAAGCAATTTTAAGATTCTCTTAGTGCTTAGAATGAAAACTTGCAAAATTTCTTGTGCGTGTTAAGAATTTTATACTAATCATTAAATCGATAGAAGTATACAATTTTTGAATAGTAGAGGGAAAAATAAAGACAAGCTATTAAGTTAAAGCAAATAATCCAAATAGAAAACTGAGGTTTAAGAACATTAATTGAATTCATCAAGGGTAGTAAGAAACTATATGAACATAGGATTTTGTGTTTTCCGAATATCTCTAGTCCAAAGCCATCACTATGTATAAAATAAGATGTTAATTACAGTTTAATATTCTTGTAAGTTTAAGCAAATTTACCATTTATACGTGATTTATACAACATATTACCTCTTGAATATTGTCTCAAATGACTGGCTTCAAGTAGCACGTTAAATAAAAATAGTAGAATAAATGTGTCAAGCTACACTTACTATTCACAATTATTTTATAGTTAGATTATGGCTCTGTTAGATATACAATTTTATATTTGCTTATCTTCTGAATTAATGTTACAGTAATAGACTACAGTCATCATGCAATGTGTTGTCAAATATATTAATAAACATAAGAAAAAACATAGTAATATACTGTGTCAAATTTTTCTATCAAGTGGAAATTTAGCACATTCTTCAGGAAATATTGACTGCAAAATCTATGATTAATATATTTTTCAGAAATATTGGATATAAATACAAAATGAAGTGATGAATTATTGATATGTGCAGTTTTACTATCATATAATGTTACTGATAAAATTAAAAAAATATAACTCATTTTTAGCATCAGATGAGGAAACTTGGTTCACTAAAGTTAGTATTATCTTTATTTGAATGCTACAACCTTGAAAAATTATTACATTTGATAGAACTATTTGGGAACAGTTTGTTACTTCTCATTGTGACTATGGACATTAATGGGATGCCCATATTCCTTCCATTCCCTTTTCTTAGCATAGTGGAAATGATTACAGATATCAGTTATGTTTCTTGACTGATGTTACAGTCATTCCGCATTATGAAGTATGCAAGACTAAATTTTTACAAAGGGTATCTCTTATCCTTATGATAGCCTAAAAAGGTGAAAATTTGTCAAGCAGGTTTCCTAAGATCCTATAAAATTAGGGGACAGGGTTCCAGCATCAAGATGTAGTTTTACTTATTGAATTAACACAGAGTTTTGTTGATGATTTTCTTTGATGATGGGGGTAGTGATCGTGGTATTGTTTTATTACATTGGTTTCTTCCTTTTTTTGTTCATTTTTAATGGGAACCTCCCAATAATGGTGAGGATGCAGTTAAATGGTAACTCCATACACTTAGTGTGAGTCTAGAAATAAATTCAAGTTTTATTTTGAATACACTGAATTGGTATTTCTTTCATTGAATAAACATTTATCTAGTGCCTCCTAAGTGCCAGACAACACAAAACGTAAAATACCATTGGCAAATCCATAGCAATCATACAAAAGACGTGATATTTGATAAATATAACTCATACAATGAAGAAAAAAAAGAACAAGAATTTATACACAGCAATTTGACCTCCGTTTGCAACACAACAATATAAAGTGTAATTTTCTCCAATCTAAATTTGCTTTGAAAATATGGAACACCAGCTGGAAGGGAGCTCAGATGGCTTCTGCAGTGGGGTTGGAAATATCCTTCTGAGCATGTCCAGAACAACTGGTTAAAAATAATTAAATCACTTGCACCATCTGTGAATCATTCTGATTCTTCAATGATTACTTAAGACTCTCATTGTATGGAACATATTCTGAGAACAGATGAATAAAATCTATTCAAGTGTATATTGTTTTCCACTTTGATTTTCACAAAATAAAAGGATTATAATATTTTCAAGTTGGTAAGTTATCTGATAATTCTCCTGCCCTCCTTTATGATCCAGTTGCTTTTGAAATAATTAAGGTTTGTTTAAAATTTAGTTTTATGAATAATACAAATTCACATAGCCTTGATGTTATAACATAATTTTGCTTAAAAACATTCTATCATTTTTACCCTTTATTTAATCTTTTGAGTATAGTTTAGCACCCATTTAGTAACAGCCAAGAGAACTAAATGGAAGTCCGAATTGATTGCATTCTCAAATTTAGCACCATATGCTATAATCATGAGCAGTTTTTAAAATTCCTAAATAGCTATTTTAACGCATGTAAAACAGAGGAAAGCTATATTTAGTGGTGACTAATCCATGGATGAAAGATGCATGGATTAAATATAATCCAAGTGCCCATATCTGTACAAACTTAAGATGTTCAGATAATTTGGAGGCATTGTTAACTGTTTTTCTGGATATCAGTGCATGGGCACTTCTCGCCAGAATAAATTAACTGGGGAAAGTTCCAGAAGGTCCATAATTTTCCATAATAATTAGTGCTTTCTTAGTTAATAGACTATCTGGGTGATGAAAAATAAATGAATTACCTAACAAATACAGTTATCTATAACATATAACTCCATCTGTGACCCGTATAAAGCTCAAAATGTGTTAACTGGTTAGTATCTAGACAATCATAAACACACATGAAACATGAATAATATCGGTCACTATATTTTCATTTCTTGCTTCGTAGATACACTCGAGTATTTCATATGTGGAAAATTAAGAGATCTAGTCCTCTTCATATATTGGCCTCCCTAATGGGAAAGGGTCTCTTTAATCTGCTACAAAGCCCTCCTCTTCTTTAAACTTGCCAAGATGTCTTCTACCTCAGGTCATTGCAATTATGTTTCCTTTGACTTGGGCCTCTATTTCTGGATATTTCCTTGCTGGTCTCCCGTCACATTGCAGGATGCAGAGTGAACATTATCTCCACAGGTGGCCTGCCTTCGACAACCTATTTTATGTCGTTCGCCACATCCATTCTATCCTTACCATCATGCTCTAGAACATCAGCTAGACGTTTCCCTTCTAATATTTACTGCAATCTGCAAATGTTACCTTTGCATGTTTACTTGTTTATAATTTGTCTGCTATCATTAGAATGTAGGCTTGATGAAGTCAGGAGCCTATTCTATCTTGTTAGTCACTGTTTCCCCAAGACATAGAGTCTATCACAGAGCAGGTATTTAATGAAAATATGTGGAATGAATGATTGAATGAATGAATGTATAACATCTTCCTGTGGAAATCCCTGCAGTTTCAGAGTTGGTTGTTCTGTATTTTTATGTCAGTGGTATCCTAATGCCAGTCTGCCATGGTCCAGAAGTTTTCAATGGTCCATAAGGAAAAGAAAAAAAAGAGCAATTTTTTATTTAGCTTTTCATAAAGCAAAGTTTTTTAATGCAAGAATTGTCCTTTCTTTCAAAATTATGGGTTTCAACAGTTTTGGAGGTATTAAAATGGCCTTTCTTTTTCTTTCTTCTCATTTTGTTACAATGTCCTTTACTAGAAAAAGTAAAGGGCAGAACTTTTGTGATGTTCCCTAATAGTTTTTTTTTTTTGTAATGTTGTTATTGACCTATGAAATACAATGTCCGTAAACCACCAACTTAGATAAATTTATTTACATGAAGGAATACCATTCCTGCTAAGTTTCTATATTGGTTGCTTGAAGTTTCAGAATGAGGAAGAGAAAGCATGAAAACCATCACCTCCTATATGTATGGCCTGTTCGGCAAGCAGTACTGGCCCCATAACAGTTATCCACTGGAATAACATTCTTGAATTTATTTTGTCACATGTGAGGAGCAAAAACAAGACAAAATACACAAAAAAGAGTAGAATTAGGGTATCACGACATTTGTCTAACATTGTTCAACGTTAACACTTACAAATAATAAAGGTACCAAAATGGTATTTTCTTGTGTATAAATATTTTCATCCTCTGGATTTGAATCTGTTTTTGTTTGTTTTGGTGATATAAAGAACTCATAATAGTATCATTTCCTGATGATATTTGGAATCCAAAAATTAATTCAAAACAGAAGTATTACATTTTCTGTCCTTTTCATAATTGTAAACAATGCATCAAGATCAAAAACTTAACAAAATGCGTTAATGTTATTATGCATGCTTTTTTCACATTCTTTATTTCCCAGTGATCATAATGACTAATAATTAACATAATTATTTGTGATTGACAAAAGACTCTAACGTTCATCATTTTAGTTAATTATTATTTAAGAAATAATTGGTCTGGATATAATATAAGCCAATTAAATTTGTATTCTGAAAAGTTTTGAGAAGTGAAAAAAAATTTATTTTTTATTTGGTAAAATACTTTATTTCTGTTGTAGCTGCTTTTACAAGGAGATTGTGGGGAGGAACAGTCATATCCAAGTTCTCAGTTAATTACCTTTTCAAAATATATGATCTAAAATGGAGTGAAAATTGATTGTGTCAATATGAGTTTTTAGAGTTAAAACTTGTAAATTTTCTGGACAGAATAGAACAATTTTATATTGGAATCCTTGCCATAGGATAATACAATGACTATTATTTCCTGGAACATTGACAGAGAACAAGCTATTTTAGGAGAAACTATCTGGATTGTAAAGTAGAGCACATTAAGCCTAAGGTGTCATTAAATTCACAAAACTTTTAAAAAAGAATTGAGCGTAATCTTTGGTAAGAGAAAAATGGTTTTCTTCAGTGACTATTACCATATTTTGCAAAGTTATAACCTGGCAAAATATATTATTTTGGGAAAATAATATTAAATATAACCATTTCTATACACACAGTGGCACTTTATTTATTCAGAGGTCAGATGGATATCATTTTAATTTACCTGCAACACAGCCAAGAGTCAGGAATGGAGTAGAACAAAAGGCCTCTCGATTCCCAAAATTGATTTTTTAAGGTTCATGAAATCCAAAGCTTACTTATATTTCATTATGAAATGAATTTCCAAATCCTTTTTTGGAGATTTTTTAAAAATTTTGCTTTGATTAAAGAGGTAATTCTAATAAACTTAATTATCTCTTTTTTTTTTTGTGCCCCTAGTAGCTTTGAAGTCAAAATGGGACAGAAGGAATAAATGACTGAAACAGGAGATAATAGCTGCAGCCTCGAGTAAGGTGAAAAAGAACCTATATATATGGACTCATAGTTTGGGGAAATAATTTAGCACAGGGCAACACAGATGAGAGAGGGAGGGATGGAGGAAGGGAGACAGAGAGAGAGAACAGATAATTAGTGTTTATTTCATTTTATACTTATGGATAATTTAATTATTTCAATAGTTTATTCATATAGTTAGGTAAATACTTTTTTTTTTTTTTTGAGACAGATTCTCACCCTGTCACCCAGGCTGGAGTGCAGTGGCATGATCTCGGCTCACTGCACCCTCTGTCTCCCAGGTTCAAGTGATTCTCCTGCCTCAACCTCCAGAGTTGCTGGGATTACAGGCAACCGCCATCACGCCTGGCTAATTTTTTTATTTTTTTAGTACAGACAGGGTTTCACCATGTTGTCCAGGCTTGTCTTGAACTCCTGACCTCAAATGATCTGCCTGCCTCGGCCTCCCAAAGTGCTGGGATTACTGGTGTGAGCCATGGCGCCCAGCCCAAGGATCTTTAATATCTTACCTATGTGCAAAAGTGTTTAATACATAATGCCATATGGCATATTAGCTTCCTAAATCACATACCACTGCCACCAGCTAACTTATATCTCTATATTTACATCTGAGGCTGCATAGGCACACATAAATGTATTCATATATGTTACACATATGCTTATTTATGTAGCTATGCTATATGTTATTTGCTATTTACATCTATTAAGTTACTTAGCAAAATATGTCCTTTGGCTTTGAAAAAAATGCCTGCTGAACTCATCAAGATTATGATTTTTGTAGGTTATTCTCCATCTTTTAGTCGAGTTCCTAAAGTTGTGTTTTTTTAACTGCCTGCTTTTTATTGCAGGTATATGAAATTGTTGTGCATATTTCAAAGAAGAATAGAATGCAGGGTAACTCTCAAACTTGTTATTTGGAATTAGGTCAGATAATTTTGTAAATACTGTTATCAGTATATCACAATGTCATTAGTGTCCCTTCAAGTTAAGGGCATGGAAATAAAGATGGTCTAATGTGCCAGGCCAAAGAGGAAAACTTTTCAGCTTAGCAAAGTGACTTCAAATACATGGGGAGAATTGAAGCAGTCATTTCAAATGCAAACAAAAAGTTGTATTTTTATGGATTACAATATCCTTAGCTAAATGTTTACTTTGGCTTGGGTATTTTTCTCATTAGTGATACTTATTTAATTAGTTGCTTATAAATTGAACCTGGGAAGTGTAGTTTGCAGTGAGCCGAGATCAAGCCACTGCACTCCAGCCTGGGCAACAGAGCGAGACTCCGTCTCAAAAAAAAAAAAAAAAAAAATTGAGTACTTAAGATCAATTAAAATATATCGAGTATTGGATGCTGTCACATAAGAGTGCTATTAGCCATTGGCTGTTAAATTTCCTCATCTCCAGGAATCTCAGGCACCTAAAAATAATTCTCTTTACTTCATGGGCAACAGCAGCCACTAGTCTTTGCCACGACTCTTCTGTCAATTGGGTATGCAGTGAGGGGCACCAATATGGTTTTAGGTGATGATGTGAAATTGTTTCAAAATGCTTTCATTCTCCCTTCTGAATTTTGTCTTAGTCTATGCTTCCATAATATTGGGAGCCAATTAGTAGTACATGCCTTCCTGCAGCTTGAATAGAAGTGAAGTCTATTATGAACAATAAAGTCAATTAGAGGGGGCCATGCCTACTGATAAATATGTTATGTAAAGACTCAATTTACCTTGAAATCTGTATCTATTTGCATCTACTCTTTAGTGCTAGTTCAGAGCTCTGTGCGATTATTTTAAATGTATTGCAGTATTACTTTAATCAATTAATACAAAGGTAGATTAAGGAAACTTTACTACTCTTCATTTCTTCATTCTGCTGATTCCTCCCTCACTGAAGCAAAAAAAAAGTCTACAATTTAGTCTTTAAAAAGTCTATAGTTTAGTCTTAGATATCTCTTTGTACTATATTCCATATACTGTTCATTCTTACCAATGAATAGTATATATAGATATATTTTACTTTTTTAAAAAATACTGCTTTATTCTGTGTATTATTTTAAATATAACAGTCAATTAGAAACATGTTCCCAGGTAATGTATATAGATCTTATACATTCTTTGTGAAAGTCTTAGATGATGAATCAAAATGTATTCTATTATTCTTCTACATTTCTGGATTATTATATTTTGATTAGAAAAGGTGGCCTATCAAATCTTTCTTTTTGATGCTTTTAAAAGTTTCCTCTCTATGTAATTTTTGATGTCCCAAGTAAATAGGAGAATATGCTTTTTCCAGTGTGCACAAAATACGGATTAAATTTAGCTTGTCGGTTTTAAACCACCTCTATTCTTGTTTTTTATTTGTATTTTTTGTCTATTTTAATCTAACAAATTACAGAAGAGTTGTATGTAAGGTACCAACTACAGCTATGATTTTATCATGTTCTCCTTTTATTTCTAGTAATTTTTACCTTATGTAGAATGCACCCAATTGTTTGGGGCATAGCAATTAATGACTACTGTGCTTTGGGAAGAAGTGTGATTTTTGTCATTACAATGGTTCTCTGAGACCCATTTAGTGCTTTTCGGTCTTGAACTATACTTCATTTGATGCTATTATTTTGACTTTCACTTTTTAAAAAATGGTTTTCTAAATCACCATTAACGCAGCATTGTGACCTTGTATTTTTATGTTTCTTGTGACTTTCACTTTTTAAAAAATGGTTTTCTAAATCACCATTAACGCAGCATTGTGACCTTGTATTTTTATGTTTCTTGTAAACAGCCTATAGATGGAGTGTGCATTTTAAACTAGATAATTTTGTCTTTTTAACTTATGCAAATATTTTTACATCTTTATAGGGTACATGTAATATTTTGCTACATGCATAGAATGTATAATGATTAAGTCAGGATAGTTAGGGTATCCATCATCTCAAGTATTTATCATTTATATGTGTTGGAAATAGTTCAACTCCTCTCTTCTAGGTATTTTGAGAGATACAATATATTGTTGATTATAGTCACCCTACTCTTCTTTCAAACATTAGCACTTACTCTTTCTATGCAACTGTATGTCCGTACCCAGTAACCAATCTCTCTTCACCCATTCCGCCCACCTACACTCTTCCCAGCCTCTGGTATCTATAAAAAAAAATCACATATTCTTACCAATACGTGCTTGATCTTATGAAGATATAAAAATGATAGATAGTTCATCTTTAGATGAGACATTTTAACCAACTTCATTTTTACAATAACTCTTATAACTGTGTCTGTTTTAATTCCTTGTCATATTGATGGTCATTATTTTATCATTTTATTTACTCTTATCCCTTGTCTATAATTTTATAATTCATCATCTTCTTCACTGCACTCTACTGCATCTCTTCCCGCACTTATAGGTTATTTATAAGTTATACTTTGTACTATCATTTTACTAGTGCTGTTTCCCATTTTAAACAACAATTTTATGCCTATATTTCTGTAGTGTTGCGCCAAAATTAAATAAGAACAATGCCCTCATCACCAAGATGATTTACTTAGTCAACTCCTCATTATTTTCAATCAAAGGCAAAATCCTTTAAAAAGAAATAATTTATAATTTTATTTCCTGGCTACTATTGTTTTCACTTGTAGTATCACATACTAGTTCAAGATGTCATGTTATTACTTAAATTACACTATCACTTCATAAAATTTGACCACAAACGACACAAGGTGTATTTCCTGTCACTGTTTTTTTGTACCGTTTATTTCTCATTGTTTTGAAATCTTTATTACACAGTCATCCTTCAGTGTCTGTGGGGCACTGGTTTCAGCATTTTGATATCAAAATTCAAGAATACTCAAATTATTTATATAAAATGGCATAGTGTTTGCATGTAACTATGGACACCCTCCTGAACACTTCATATCATCTCTAGATTATTTATAGTACCCAATACAATGTAAATGCTATGTAAATAGTTGTTATGCAGTATTGTTTAGGGAATAATGGCAATAAAAATGTCTGTACATGTTCAGTGCAGACACAGCCATCCATGTATTTTTGCAAATGTGTTCGATCGATGACTGGTTAAATCCACAAATGTGGAACCCATGGATACAGAGGGCCAACTGTACTTCAGTTTTAATTTGGTTGGAACACATGAGAAATGTCCTCGTAAAAACATAAAGGATGTAAACTTTGTAAACCTTGCATTTTCGAAATGATCTTTGCTTTGCAGTCATCATGATGGATTTATTGGATAGTAACATTCTTTAATATCTCTCCTCTTTTTTTAGTAGTCTCTGTAGGTTATGAACAATTGTCTTCCAGTTTCCATTGTTTTCTTGTTTCAACTATCTTCAAGCTACTATTGTTTCCAGTGTAAAGTCTGATTCTAGTCCAAGTATCATTTATTTGTATTTAACCTTTTTTCTTTCTCTCAAACTCTAAAGTTGCTGTCTGTCCCATCTATTGAAGTACAGAAATTTCATTAAGATATAATTTTAAATGTTTCTAAATGTGTCCCTGTTTATTATTTTATTTTATTTTATTTTGTTTTTATTTTTGAGACAGGGTCTTGCTATTGCCCAAGCTGGAGTGCCGCGATGCAATCATAGCTCACTGCAGCCACCAACTCCTAGGCTCAGGAGATCCTATTGCCTCAGCCTCTTTAGTGGCTGGGACTACAGGCCATCAGTACCATGACTGGCTAATTTTTAAAACATTTGTTTGTAGAGATGATGTGTCATTATGTTGCCCAGGCTGGTCTTGAACTCCTGGAATCAAGTAATCTTCTCACCTCAGCCTCCTAAAGTGCTGGGATTTCAGTTGTGACCCACCACTTATTTAATTCTTTTTTGCACTTGGGTAACGTTTTAAATAACCAATTAATATTAATAACTTCTTTAGCTCTGGAAAATTTTCTATTATGATTGTTTTAATTATTACAAATCTTCCATCTCTTCTTTTTTCTCATTCTGGTACTTATCATTGCTTAATAGGTATCTTAGATCTGTTCTCTAAGTCTCTTATTTTTTCACTATTAATGTCAGTTTATTTCTATTTGTCTTTAAATTGTGATATACTTCTTCTGGTTGACTGTAAAGAACCCATATTTTATTTTTAGCCATGATCATTCTCTTTTCTAAGTTGTCTATTGTTATTTAAAAACTAGGTAACAGGCTTTCTGTGCTCTAATGTTAACCTTTTAATGTTTCTAATTTTATTTTTATTAAATGTACCTTCCGTATCTTCTAGTATACTACTTGTATGGACTCTCAGCTTTGTCTTTCTCTCCAGCCCCTTGTGTCTTCTGAAAAAGCCTTTGCTTTATTTTCTCTCATGCCTAAGTCAAAGAATGTAAAATGTCTTGGCGCAAATGCAGTTAAGGTTTTGATATTTTGATGCATAGTGATTGATTGAGAAGCAACATGGATACTGGAAGTTTTGTTGTTGTTGTTGTTGTTTTGATCTGATGAATAATTATTTAACAAGCTGAAACCTATTCACAAAATTTACATATGGGAAAACATCTCTGATCTCATGGACAAGGGGTGGAAGTAAGGCTGTCCTCAACCATGTAGTACAGCCACTCTCCAGTAATGCCTGCATGAAACAAACTAGCAGGTACTGACCCCCTTCTTAAGTCAAACAGATCTCCTTAAATCAATGGTCTCCAACAGATCATTCCACATATATACTTGAAAACCATCAGATCCATCATTTCTGTCTCAGATCGTGCCAAGATACACATAACTTTGAAATATCACCAGTTCATCATCATTCTCTCTTCACCTGCAATTTTTTTTTCCATAATTTGAGGTCCTGATACATATATTCTTCTAAATTGTAGCAGTTAGTTGTGATTATCTTGACGTTGCATGGACTCAGTTCAAAGTGAAACAGAAAACATATCTACGATGTGATTTACCCATTCTCAACATTTCTATTTTGTGTGTCTGTATTTGCACAGACACGTACATACATACATGTGCATATATATAATTAATAAGCTTTGACCATATAAATAATGCAAATTATGTATAATTCACAATAATAGGTTTTTAAATTAATTATCTTCAGAGTTGAGTGAGATTACTTACAGATTTAGGCTGTGTCTACCTGAAAACAAAATACAGTGTATTAGCAATTCAGTAAAATCAATTGGATATAGAATAATAACAAATTAGTTGAGTTTTCACCTTGTGACATTTTAGTTTGGATTTAGTAGCCTGTCTAAATTACCTTTGTGAAAAAACTAGGCTACAAGTATTTTCTGATAGATATAATACCAGCATTAGAATTATTCATATAATCTTAGTTTTCACATTATTTAAAATAGAACACATTGTTATATTTTAATAAGCAATTTGAAAAAGAAACAAATCTTTCTTTCTTGTATGATTGCCATTATAAAAGAATATTAATTGAGTGCTCATTAGGTAACTTTAACCACATTAAGTACTAGACAGCCCTTTGGACAGAGACTGAGTAGAATAAAAAACGATTACAGAACATACTTTGGTATTAACCTTTTCTATAAATAAAATGTATTGTCATTCTCTAGATTAGCACTGTCCTATAGAACTTTCTGAGATGATGGCAATGTTCTATATCTACACTGTCCAATAAAGTAGCTATTGAGGCTACTGAGAACTTAAAACATGGCTAGTAAAAACAGATGTACTAAGTTTTTAATTGTATTTGCTTTTAAATAATTTAGATTTACATTTCTTTCGTCAAGTGTAGCTAATGACTACCATACGGGATAGTGTAATTATATGCATCTTTACTATCACTCGCATTTCTAATGAAGAGAATACTTCCTTGAAAAACATAATTATGACACATGCATATTTAGACATAGATACTGAGTTGCCGCATTAATCTAGAGATAGTGTCCACATTTTCTGAGGGGTGTGACAAATGTAATATAGAAATAAAAGTGTGAGTTTATTCTGAAAAATCTACTCAAGTTGACAGATCCACAAGGCAACAGAAGTTAAAAGCGATATAGGAGGGTGAAATATAACTGCAGTATTTAAGGTCTTTCCATACTTATTTTTTCTTGTGTTACTTTTATTTTCACACTGAATTAAGTATAAGTATGTGTGTGAGGTGGAGGGAGGGTTCGATTTGCTTGTCAACATACAAAAAGATTGCTATAGCAAGTATTCCCAAGCTGAAATTTTGGAATAGCTTAAAATAAAAAATATATACTAGATATGTAAACGAAAACTTTTATGAGAAGAGTTTGGGAAGAGTTATCAAAGGTTAAAATGATTTTTTGAATACAAGTCTTCTCATACCCTTCAATTTGCTAATAGACATTATGATACCCATGAAGAAGCTAAAATCAGTATATCTTAATATCGTCTATATGTCATTACCTCAAATAATTGCTTATGTTTGTATTCAAGTATAATGAGTCAGATTAGTAACTAAAAGACAATTTAAGGACCTAAGCACGCATGTACAATAGCATGTAGCTAATGTGCTATGAATTGAAGAAATGCGACATAGTGAAATCAGATATACCTTTTAAATCTATGACAATAAAGATTGCATTATAAAATGAAGAAAATATTCCTGTTTGAATTCTGAATATTCCTAAATATAAATTATAAATGTAAATCCCAGCAATTGTAACCACATATCTATCTTATAATTATCCTGTTAAGTTGATACTTGTTTTTTCATTAATTTATCCAACAAATATTTTTGATAACATACTGTATGCTAGGTACTAGGCATGAGTCTTTGCTGCATTTATTTTTTGCTGCCTTATAAGTTGGCTAGGGTGTATAACCTTATCTATTAATTTATAGGTTATTTTTTGGAGATGGTTTTACAAAGCAGGCCATGATTGTTGGTGCTTATATATTGCTGCTTATGTGTTGATACTTATCTTGGTGGCAACCAAAGCCCTTTTCTTTCTCTTCTCTCACAGGCCATACTTAGTGACTAAAATTTTATCAAGTTACTAATTTATGTTAATTCTTTGAAAATCTGTATAAAAATGCAAATGTTGTCCTTTGAAACGAAAGACTTTAAACCACTATAAGCCATTAACACATTTTCCAGATTCAGTTTATCAGCTTAATTTGATAGTAATTGAGCTTGGCCCTGAGGAATTAGGTAAATTTCATGGTGTAGAAAGTCAGAATCCACATGAGGCAGGTCAATGAGCAGGTCTGTCCAGACCTTTTACATAGGACACTATTTATACCTGGCCTTCTAGAAGCAGGGTGTATTTAAAGACTGGCAAATCCAGCATCATCTGCATATCTTTTTCGCTGACAGCCTGCCCTGCTTTAAAAATTAATTCTAACTTTAGAAAATAAATAATATGGGCATAAAGGATGATTTTCTTTCATATTTTACCTTGACTATTTTGTGTATGTTAGTGAGTTTTATTCTTTTTAAACAAAGGGGGTAAATTGTTCATTGATTCTGAATAATTATTCTGAGATGGACAGGCCCTTTTTTTGGTTACATAGCTTCACATAAGCAATTTTTTAGATGATGCAATAGGAAGGGGGAAATCACATAAGAGCAAACACTCTCTCATTGCTATTTTTTCTATGCACGGTCATAACCAATATGCTTAGACTCATTAGATTGATTATTCAACATCTTTCTACCCAGTGACTTGACTAAAACAGACAAAACGAAGTACTGTCAGAATGCTGTTATTGTCATGCCATTATATGTATCCAAAACAGTGACAACGCAGATTAAAACCATACCCGTCTCACCTGCATCATGTTGTTTTGTTTTTATGCTTTATTGTTTGGGGTTTTTTAATCACCCTGGACCAATACAATATTTTTGCCTAATTTGTTTGTGATTTGCATTTTTATGCTTACAATGCCTATTATAATTGTCCAGGAGAAATAAATAAAAAATCTCTCAACTTTGTTTATTACTGTAATGATTCCTAGAAGGAAACTTGTCTTTCTCTGAAGACTTGTGGGGCTAAGAGACAGAGCTACTTGTCTAAGACTTAAGTCTTTCCCATTGCCTTTTCATTTATGACCCATCAGAACCTACTTAAAGCCTGCAGTCCTATTTTGGATTTACATATCATTGTGTTATTACTTTTAAATAATCCATAATATTTAAGAATGTCCCTTTGAGGAAAGATAATCAGATACAAACTGACATACTTTCATATTATGGCTCATAGATTTTCATATTATAGCTCACACTAAATCATTAATAAATCTTACTTTGAGGATTTGCTTATTTTCATCTTCATTAACACCAACGCAGTTAAAAAAAAAAAGGCTCCATCACTATTTTACTGTTTTTGGTCAAGATAATAGTCTATTTTTGTTACACTTTTGATGCATTGATATATTTTTCATGTGCCATATTTATATGAGATATATAGTTATTTTGTGGCATATGTCATAATCATATGTCATATAGCACATTTTTCTTCTTGAGTTTCTTTGACCTCATAACTCATAAATGGGCCAGTAACCTCAATGCATTTAAAGGAGAAAGAAGTCTTTTAAATCATGGAGGAAAACATTTTGTTTAAAAACCTAGACATAATGCACCATTTGTTTCAAAACAGGATTGCTTTTATCCTTTGCAGTTATGGCCCTTCAAGAAACAAATTTTATGTAATGAAAAGAATGTGATAACTTAAGTTTCAGATGAATGAAAATGTATTCAAAACTTTGTGAGTGATACCTGTGCCTATTTACACAGCTCAGAATCTTAAAACTGTTTTGACTTTAAGTTTAGATCATACAAATCATAATTGTGTTCTATAATAGTCATTAAGCATTGATCGAACTTTTCATTTTTAAATAAAAATAGGCATTTTATGGTTTCTTTCACATATCTTTTTGTTTCTAGAAAATGAGGCTAGTATATTCTTTGGGGTATATATGGTTAAAAATGAAAATAAACACAAAGAAATAAAATGAATTAATCAGATTATAGCATTTCCTTGCTAATGATGCATGAGTATCTATAATGATATAAGGTGGTAAAGAACATTAACAAAAGCAAGTTGATTTTCAAAAGGTTAGACGGGATTTGTACACATCAGAACTCAGAAGGATAAAATTATTCAAGGCAGAGTTAATGAAATTCAAATGAAAAGGATTAATCTGAATGAGTACCTGGATTTTGCATAAAGAAGAGAAAATGAACATGATATTTCTAATTACACTGATTTTTAAATAACTGTCTGAAATTTTTATTAAACCAAACTGAAAGTCATTCAATGGATGTAGTTTTCTCATTATAGATTCGCATGACTGTGTCAATAGGAATGCTATACTTTTAAGGAATAGATAGCAAACTAGATCTCCAAATGTCTGGTTCTCTTTTGATTCAATTTCTGGTAGTTTCTTGTATATGAAAATTACAAAAAAGTCTATATATTAAACATTATTGTATATATCAGATTGCTATAATAAATGAGAATATTCAAACTTAATAACACGGAATTTTCTAGAAAATGAGTTCACAGTTTCCCAGTGGTGTCAAAAAGTTATTTTGGAATATTTCTATTTCTCAAGAAAGTTCACAGGATCAACCCTTAGTTTTCTCTAGTCAGCTGATCTGTACCACTTAGTGTCTGTTATCTGTGATGACTGGACACTACGTATCAAGATAGTAAATCTTTCAATAGATCCGTCTTCATTAAATATATTTAAAGTATAACATTAACCTTTTAGACTTTATAACGTATAGCTGAACTGTTGCCCATAGGTAATTGTAATGAGAAGCATCTTAGAAATTACAGGTATTCTAATTTATCTTTATAATGGAAAGAAAAATTTTTGAAAGATTACTTAATTATCAGTAGTTGAGGATAGAAATGATTTTTCTCATTCAGATTTTTCTAAAGTAATAAACTATACCTTTTTATTGATTATGTTCAACCATAAGAATTTTAATATTTCTAAGTGTTCTAGAAAATGTGTTCATGCCATGGCTGAGCATGTAGGGATTATTTCCATGTATTGACACTGGTTGCTCTATGGCTTATTTGTGACAATCTTGAAAATAATCACAATATGCATATTATTAGAGCATTCTCAACCTGCAGTTCAATGGCTAATATTTCTTTTAAGAGTATTTCGATCAGGTTAATAAGAGCTTCTTCATTATTTAAAAGTTTGTAAAAAATGATTTCTAGAACCAGATACAGAATTACAATTATTTGTCACTTAGGTATCTAAAATTTTCTTAAAAATTGAACTCTTGTACAGAGAGTAAAAGGATGATTACCAGAAAAATTGGCAATTTAAATAGATGCCACATAACACTCTTCTAAAAGAGATTTTCTTTGAAAGATAGGTGAAAATGGTTTTTAGTTTAATGTTCTGAAGAATATTTGTTAAATCGGTATATAATAATCTATGGTAGACACATGGGGTCAGGTGGAGAGAAGCTTAACAGATGAGAAGCCAGGGTATGGTGTGCTGCCTACATTCTTTAAGCCCTGGTTTAGGACTATGATTAACACTGGATCTTATTTGCTGAGACACAGAATTCTGGTCTGAGAGCACGAATTATTATTTTCTAAGTGAATCTAATTTTTATTTTATCCAGTGTCACTGAATGATTTTTTCTTTTTTTTTTTAATTATACTTAAGTTCTGGGATACATGTACAGAACGTGCAGGTTTGTTGCATAGGTATACATGTTCCGTGGTGGTTTGCTGCACCCATCAACCTGTCATCTACATTAGGTATTTCTCCTAATGCTATCCCTCCCCTTGCCCCCCACCCGCCAACAGGCCCCTGCGGCCATATGTTTTCATTGTTCAACTCCCATTATCAGTGAGAACATGCAGTGTTTGGTTTTCTGTTCCTGTGTTAGTTTGCTGAGAATGACGGTTTCTAGTTTCATCCATGTTCCTGCAAAGGACACGAACTCATTCTTTTTTATGGCTGCATAGTGTCCCATGGTGTATATGTGTCAATTTTCTTTATCCAGTCTATCACTGGTGGGCATTTGGGTTGGTTGCAATTCTTTGCTATTGTGAACAGTGCTGCAATAAACATACGTGTGCATGTGTCTTTATAGTAGGATGATTTATAATCCTTTGGGTATATATCCAGTAATGGGATTGCTGGGTCAAATGGTATTTCTGGTTCTAGATCCTTGAGGAATCTGCACACTGTCTTCCACAATGGTGGAACTAATTTACACTCCCACCAACAGTGTAAAAGAGTTCCTATTTCTCCACATCTTCTCCAGCATCAGTTGTTTCCTGACTTTTTAATGATCGCCATTCTAACTGGTGTGAGATGCTATCTCGTTGTGGTTTTGACTTGCATTTCTCTAATGACCAGTGATGATGAGGTTTTTTTCTTATGTTTGTTGGCCGCGTAAATGTCTTCTTTTGCGAAGTGTCTGTTCATATCCTTTGCCCACTTTCTGATGGGGTCTTTTTTTTCTTGTAAATTTGTTTAAGTTCCTTATAGATTCTGGATAATAGCCCTTTGTCAGATGGATAGATTGCAAAAGTTTTCTCTCATTCTGTAGGTTGCCTGTTGACTCTCATGATAGGGTCTTTTGCTGTGCTCTTCAGTTTAATTAGATCCCATTTGTCAATTTTGGCTTTTGTTGCTGTTGCTTTTGGTGTTTTAGTCATGAAGTCTTTGCCCATGCCTGTATCCTGAATGGTATTGCCTAGGTTTTCTTCTAGAGTTTTTATGGTTTCAGGTCTTAGGTTTAAGTCTTTAATCCATCATGAGTTAATTTTTGTATAAGGTGTAAGAAAGGGGTCTAGTTTCCGTTTTCTGCATATGGCCAGCCAGTTTTCCCGACACCATTTATTAAATAGGGAATCTTTTCCACATTGCTTGTTTTTGTCAGGTTTGTCAAAGATCAGATGGTTGTAGATGTGTGGTGATATTTCTGAGGCCTCTGTTCTGTTCCGTTGGTCTATATATCTGTTTTGCTATCAGTATAATCTGTTTTGGTTACTGTAGCATTATAGTATAGTTTGAAGTCAGGTAGCGTGATGCCTCCAGCTTTGTTATTCTTGCTTAGGATTTTCTTGGCTATATGGGCCCTTTTTTGGTTCCATATGAAATGTAAAGTAGTTTGTTCTAATTCTGTGAAGAAAGTCAATGGTAGCTTGATGGGAGTAGCATTGAATCTATAAATTACTTTGGGCGCTATGGCCATTTTCATGTTATTGATTCTTCCTTTCCATAAGCATGGAATGTTTTTCCATTTGTTTGGGTCCTCTCTTATTTCCTTGAGCAGTGGTTTGTAGTTCTCCTTGAAGAGGCCCTTCACATCCCTTGCAAGTTGTATTCCTAGGTATTTTATTCTCTTTGTAGCAATTTTTAATGGGAGTTCTCTCATTATTTGGCTCTCTGTCTGTTATTGGTTTATAGGAATGCTTGTGATTTTTGCACGTTGATTTTGTATCCTGAGACTTTGCTGAAGTTGCTTATCAGCTTAAAGAGTTTTTGGGCTGAGACGATGGGGTTTTCTAAATATACAATCATGTCATCTGCAAACAGAGATAATTTGACTTCCTCTCTTCCTATTTGAATATCTTTCTTTCTTTCTCTTGCCTGATTGCCCTGGCCAGGACTTCCAATACTATGTTGAATAGGAGTGGTGAGAGAGGGCATCCTTGTCTTGTGCCAGTTTTCAAAGGGAATGCTTCTAGCTTTTGCCCATTCAGTATGATACTGGCTGTGGGTTTGTCATAAATAGCTCTTAATATTTTGAGATTTGTCCCATCAATAACTAGTTTATTGAGTGTTTTTAACATGAAAGGGTGTTGAATTTATCCAAGACCTTTTCTGCATCTATTGAGATAATCATGTGGTTTTTTTGGTCATTGGTTCTGTTTATGTGATGGGTTACATTTATTGATTTGCGTATGTTGAACCAGCTTTGCATCCCAGGGATGAAGCCTACTTGATTGTGATGGATATGCTTTTTAATGTGCTACTGGATTTGGTTTGCCAGTATTTTATTGAGGATTTTCTTTTTTGTTGTGTCTTTGCCAGGTTTTGGTATCAGGATGCTGCTGGCCTCATAAAAAGAGTTAGGGAAGAATTTATTTTCTTTTGTATTGCTTGGAATAGTTTTAGAGGGAATGGTACCAGCTCCTCTTTGTATCTCTGGTAGAATTCAGCTGTGAATCCGTCTGGTCCTGGGCTTTTTTTTTTTTTTTTTTTTTTGGTTCGTAGGCTATTACTGCCTCAATTTCAGAACTTGTTATTGGTCTATTCAGGGATTCAACTTCTTCCTGGTTTAGTCTTGGGAGGGTGTATGTGTCCAGGAATTTATCCATTTTTTCTAGATTTTCTAGTTTATTTGCGTAGAGGTGTTGATAGTATTCTCTGATGGTAGTTTGTATTTCTGTGGGATCGGTGGTGATATCCCCTTTATCATTTTTTATTGTGCCTCTTTGATTCTTTTCTCTTTTCTTCTTTATTAGTCTGGCTAGTGGTCTATCTATTTTGTTAATCTTTTCAAAAGACCAGCTCCTGGATTCATTGGCAAATCTCATTTTTATTTAACGTTCCTTTCTGCAAATACCAAAATAGTCAAAATTTGGGTTTGAAATTTCATTTAAGGAAGTTAAATACAAGTTAGCAGACAAAAGTGAGTATATTTTGAGTGTCTTTTTCTTCATTATATTTGACCATACAGCTAAGTTTCTTGCTGGCTATAATCCACAATTACTATATTTATTAAGCACCAATATGAATTTAAGATAGCTGAGAGCATCTCAAATGAAAGTAATGAAGACTGAGAAAACTACATATCAAAGAAGAATCAGAAAATAGATAAAAACATCTTAGAATTATTTTTCTTTTAAGAAAAAGTGATGAGGACATGCATCAAAACTTTTCTGAATTCCCACTGCTTTTGTTAAGGCCACCCAGATTTTTTTCTAAATATTTTCAAGATATGTCCAATTCTGAAACAACTCCCTTGATTAAACAACAAAACAAATTAATAAATAAATGAAAAACTACAACTTGTCTTCTACTTACTCTGTTCCTGATAACAAAAACCTTTGTTTTCCAAAAACTTACAGGTGTAAAATGTATCATTAAAGGCAGATTTAATTGCACCATTAAATAAGTATTATAAGAAATACGCTTGCTTTAGATGATGTGAAGCTATCTTTACTGCAGGGGTTATAGCAACTAACGTGAATAAGAAAGACGAGCTTATTAACTTGTAAATTTTATTAAGAACAACATAATGGTCACCAACCAATGTAATGCGTGCAAAACACAAGCTTGTGTTACTTGTGCTATTGATTCTACTGTTTAATGTGTCAGTGAAAATTTCACATTCAAATAGCCTGCTGAGTTATTTTTCTTTTAAATGTGTAAAATGCTTATGATGAAATAGTGAAATTAAGAATTTCTTAAGAAATCTGTTAAATTCTGAATTTTATTTATCAAACTCTGGCTCAAGTTTCTAATATCCTTTTAAATGTAAATGAGAAATATATATACATTATTCCATTGAACATGAAGGAATGTGTGCCATGGATTTGGCCCAGATATACACAATAAAACAAATGTTGTAAAAGGTATAATTATTTAATAGCTAATTTGTGCAATTCTGTGAATTTGCTATATCACAAGTAGATGAGATATCTAAATTAGAATTACTTCATTTTTTATATCATGTAAGAATTGAGTATGAAAATCCTAGGTCAGAGAAATTAAAAACAAAACATAAAGTGACCAGCTTGTAAATTTTACTCCTCTTTGTGTGGGGTTCAGTCTAGTATCCCCAAAGTCCAATGTATTACATTACTGCAAAAATAAGTATGGTGTTGTCATAAAAGGCTGTGCAGTAATAAATGGCTACGTTAGCATGCTTATCGTTTGTACTTCCCCAGAGACCCTACCACTGAAACCCTCAGGTGACCTCATCAACAGGCAGGTGGCAGTTGATCAATTCTAGACAAAGTTATTGGGAGAATAATTTCAATTACAAGAATTTTGCTGCCTATAGTGTAGACAGAAGAGAGCACAGGTCATCCATCTTTCTGAATTTGCCTGCCAAGTAGTATTTATTTTTTGCTCTTATAAAGAATAGGGAAAGATGTATTACTGGGAAACTCCAAAAGGACTCTGGAGCTGGAAATTCTCATCATGTCTAGCACTTGGATCCCAGTCAGAAAAGTGTAGGTGCAAGAGAAGAGGCTAGTGCTCCCTTATATATCAGGACATTCTGGAGTTCTTTTTAAAATATAAATTCCGCAGTCAGTTCTGCTCATATAGCAGCTTCATTAGCAGCTTAACTTAGCAAGAGACTAGCAACAAAAACAGGAGCTAATGTCTAGAATTTGGAGGAGAAGAGGGCTTAATACAAAGTTACATACCAGCCTAACTACTTCGTATCTGTTGTATCTCAGTGAACTTTCCTATAGATACAGGAAAGTTGCCTGTGTTAGGAATAAAACAGATATGAGTCCCCCTCACCCAATCCCATATCTAGATTTCCAGGAAAATTAGAATTTTAAATGCCAGTTGCAAATTAGAATTAGAAATTTAAATGCCGGTTGCAAAAATCGTCTTTTTCTTAGGATAAAACTACTCTCCTTATGACCTCATGGTCTTTCGTCTTATATTTATGGTGCTAATATGTGTGTGTCACTTATTATGAAATGCTTTTAACACTTTCTGGAAAAAGTAGGTATATAATTAATAAATCACCGTTTTACTAGACTTACCATCGTGAGGTTTTGAATCCATTTTCAGCCCAGTTTGTAGATTCAATTGTCAGCTGTAGAATGAGACCTATATAAACTTAATGGAGGAGGTTTCACTGTTAGGAAGCTAAAAAAAATTGTTCTTTTGTATATCTATACCAGCACACTGTCCGTGAAGAAACGATGATGGTGATGACTGAAGACATGCCTTTGGAAATTTCTTATGTGCCTTCTACTTATTTGACTGAAATCACTCATGTCTCACAAGCCCTATTAGAAGTGGAACAACTTCTCAATGCTCCTGACCTCTGTGCTAAGGACTTTGAAGATCTCTTTAAGCAAGAGGAGTCTCTGAAGGTAAAACCAAAGCACTTTCATTCGTATTTTACAAGGTGATCATACTGATCATTCATAGTGCCAGAACAATTGACTTAAATTGTATGCATCATGATGGCATTTTGACTTTCACATGGAATTCTTAAAAATACTTGATAGTGTGGTTGGCTTCAGAAATCTAGGGTAGAAAGACATAAGTTAGAAAATGTATTTTACAATATTTAGCTTTGAGAGACATCCTAAAATGAAGAAATGCACAAAAATGATCATTTTTACATGCAGTAGGGACAGAAAGGAACCACCAGTAAATAAACTTTGATGGAAGAACAGTTTATTCCTAGTTAATGGATGACTTCTGTTTCATTTTCCAAAAAGGGAAATTAGATTTTTCATTTATATGTAATGTATATTGTTTTTGTTTTATATTTTTTATGTATACATATTCAATTTCAAATTAATGTCAATACCTGTGCTATAACATATGGAATAAAATTGAATAGAAATCAATAAAATATTTTCTTTATAACTGCCAGTTAAAGGCTACCAACAAAATCCAGCTGTTTTCAAACCACCAACAGCAAGTTACTAAATTCTCAAGTAAGGCAAATAATGATGATGAAATAGGCTATGAATTTCAGAAGGCAGTGTCTGAAGATAAATGAATGTAGGATCAAGAAAATGCACATAATAATGTGTCTCCAGATAATTTTCATGATCGTACATTTTACACTCAAAATGAAATATTATAGTATACCCAGAGCTTGGTATTTTCAAATGCAAACAGTATGTGATTATAGGCAAAAGATGGGTTTGCTATCAGCAGCACATATTAGCTAAAGTATTTTATACTCAAATGGTTTCCTGGAAGCTCATTCTATATCACACATTTGCCTGTATGAATATACAAATGGATAAAGCTATTTGTTTGTTTTGGAAATCGGTGTTGCAGTATCTTCAGTGACTTGACTTTAATATCTTAACATTATATCAAATAAGCTATAAAATTACACAGTAAAATAAGAGCTTCACAGATCTCTGGAACTATTCCATCCATGTCAGTGTGGCACTGTTTCTTATTCTGTTTGAAGTAAAAGTCAAATCACTTATTGGTACAATGAAGAAAAGAAACCTAATCAGTTAATAAAATAAAGCTGACATGCCAGAATTCCTGTCATTATTTCTATTAACTAAGTTCTCATGGCAGCATAGTTTGTAAGTGCATCATTGTCATTCAATAAGTAAATTATTGCCAATGAGCTAATATCCATTCCTTCCCAGGTTCATGGACATTTGGTTCAGGAGAGTAGTGACCCTGATCTTATTAAGTTGCCCATTGAATAACTCTGTCTCCATACCTCTTAGCCTGGCATACTCAGAATGTTAGACCCTTGGCTACACTCACAGTGAATCATTTGTTCATCCTGATCTATTTAATATTATTATAGCTGATGTCAATCGTAATAGTATTGATTACTGCGGTTTATAATATGGTATTATTGTAGATTTAATTTAGCTAAATGGTTGAATCCCCATAAGATACAGTTGTGGGCATGATTCCTTCTGTCTCCCAACAAATCTCCAGCAGGTGAATGGGCTTCCTACCTTCATTGACTTTTTTGAAGGGGGATAGTTTTGAGCTCAGTCTTTTCAGTGAATATGTATTTCCTGTTAAAGGCATTCATCATTGTCATTATCCAGTAGTAAAAATGGAAAAGCAGTGCATAAATTGTACAGCTGCTGGTTGGGAAGGTTTGAAATTGTGGTTGATTTTATTCCTGACAGATATGCATGAATCAAATTACAGAACTATAGTAAGTATTGCTGTGCTTTAACATACATCTTTTTTGAAAGTGCAGTACAACACAAATAATATGTAATATGTTAAAAGAATTACTTTCTAAACAAAATACAACTAAAATAGCACGTATGGTTTCAATAGATGTATTGAATTGGAAAGCTACCTAATCATGTTGACAGAGACTATGCAGATAAACACAAACATATATATATACGTATATATATATACATATGTGGAAATCTGCATTTAATAGCAAAAACACTAGCTAAGGCAGAGCTAGAGAAGAATGAGAAACATACACATAAGTAATATTTTCTTTCTTACTTCAGAGCCAATATTAACAGTTAATTGATTGTGATTGCTTATATGTACAAAGTTAATAATACTCATAACAGACAAGAGTACATAATTTTAGAAGAATTGCAATTTTTTGGAAGTTTAGAGCAATATTAACTTGCATTTCATTTTTAAGAAAAAATCATTTTCATGATAAAATTTTCCAAAATATAATTACTGTGTTAAACCGTCAAATCCTGCCTTAAAGTATCTCATATGAAAGCATGAACACAGAATTTCTTAGCATCGTAAGTTTTAAATTACCAAAAGGTTTTCTCTGGAGAGAGTTAAATATTTGAAAGCTTATCCTAAAAGCAGAAATGATCCACTTAAAAGACTTAACTGAAAGGATTTATCATCATGTGTCCATATGCCTAATTTTACTGAAAGCATCAGTTTTATTGGAGGATGAAACACTCTTGGGATGTCACCCATATCATTTCCTGACTCAGCATGCCTTGTACTCTGACTGGTAGCTGCCAGATCCAAGTGTCTCTGACTGTTTGCCTTAGGGCTCTCTCTAGTAATCAAAGCTCATGAGTGTCAGGTAGTTAAAGTTCTGCATCCCCCGTGTTCCCCAGCAAACCTCAACCAATAACAAATAACTTTTGGTGGATAAATACCACTACTCACTCATTCTTCAGTTAGGGTAACTCTGAAGCATGATTTATGCTCTGACCCAAAATTCTGTTCCAGGATTAAGACCCCATCGCACACAGTAAAAACCTGCCTCATAGGATACATTTCACTTGCTCCCTGTCCTACCTTACACACACTTTACTAGCACCTCCTTGGATCATTCCCAAAGACATCCCTTGTCTTCGAATCTGCTTATAGGGGAACTCTATCTAGGACATTTTTGAAATAAATAATGACATATTTACTGTGTAGTTAGCATTTACGTAGAGAAATTCTTAGAAATAGTTCATGCCTTTGGAGTGGAATTCTTCAAGTGATTCTGCTGCTCCCTCATTCAGGGAATCCTTAGCTGTTCAATTAGGCCTTGGTATCAATAAATGTGAATTTTTAGGACAAAAATAAGAACATAGCTTATAATAAGAATGACAACTATGCTTTACCTTTTGCAATAATGAGAATCAATTTACAGCTAATATTATTCTTTATGGTAGAGCAGAATGTCTTCACCTGAAGAACATGAACAAGACAAGGATATCTGCCCACATCCCTTCAATATTCCACATTGCACTGGAGTTTCAAATCACTGAAAGGAGGAGGAAGGAAGGGAGGAAGTAAGGAAGAAAGAGAGTGAGGGAAGGAGGGAGGGAGAATTGAAGAAAAGAAATAAAATAAGGAGAGAAACAAGGAGGAAATAAATGGAAGGAAAGAAAAAATATCAGGCACACATCATTTCAGTTGTCTCATCAAAACCAATTATAGTACAGATGCCTTGTTTGGAATGAATAAAATGTGCTATACTTTGGGTAACCAAGAGGGTGATGAAAAACGTGGCCATATGAAGAAAGCTCACGGGTAGGAGACATGGTGGTCCTAATGTAGATTTTAAATAGGATCAAGAAATAGAGACAACCCTTGTTCAAGTTCGAGACCACAAGGGAAAGCTGGTAGTGAGCTTATAAGCCAAAGATAGTGTGAAGCCAGGTCGTTCAAGTCCTCTTGAGTTCAGGTTTTTTGCATTGCTCTTGAGAAACAAAAAATTGTTAGGACAAGTAAACCTAAGGAATGTGGATTCGTATATTCCAAAAATAGTTATTAAGCTCTTAGTATGTACCACACACTATTCTAAGTGCTTATAAAACAGTGAAAAAGACTAACGAATCTTTGCCCTCATTCAGCTTTTATTATAACATTGGGAGACAGAATAGAAGCAAGCAAACAAAGAAAAATGATAAGTAAATATTGCGTATTACTAGGTGATACGTATTTTGGGAAAAAAAAAAAAACCAGAATCTGTTAAGGGGATATAGGACCACTACAGGGGTAGACGTAGGTATAATTGAAAGTGGCGGAATTGCCATTTCAAATAGGGTAGAAATGACCTTTGAGCAAAGATTGGAAGAAGGTAAGGGAGTCAGCCATGGAGTCTGTGTAGAGGAAATAGAGTAGAGGCCCAAATGTGGGACTGAGCTTATCTTAATCAAGCACCAACAAGAAGGCCAAAGTGGCTGAAGCAAAACAAGCCAGTGGAAGGGTAGAAAGAGATGAGGATATGGGAGTTGTGAGTGTCCAGATTGTGGAGGGCCTTTGGGGCCATTGTAAAGAAGATTCTAAATGAGATGAGAGCAATTGTAAGTTTCTGAGCAGTTGAGTGGCATGATCTCAATCATGTTTTAAAAGGATCACACTGGCTTCTGGGTTGAGAGTAGAACTGTAGGGGACCAATAATAGAATCAACAAGAGTTGAAAAAGAGATGCTGGTGGCTTGGACTTGGTCGGTAGTGAGAGAATGTCAGATTCTGGAAATATTTTGAAATTAGAGATAGCAGATATATTTCTCTGGTCATACAGAAACTTAAGCATGTGTCTATGAAAACCCATTCTCGGCCGACTTGGGGCTGAGTTAGAACTTTGGTCTCGTAAAACCTAGCAGAAGATCCCTTGAGAGATGTATGATTTCTTCTCATATTTTAGTCTTCGATTCTTCAGTCTTGCCTTGAAGTAGGGACAAAAGTACTGGCAACAGAGATTTTTAATACACTGGTTAAGATCTTTCTCCTCTGGAATCTGTTTCACAGCTCTTAAGCACAAATTTAATAATCCCAATTAGTTAAATGAAGGCAAAATTATGCCATGAGCAAAGTGACTGCTTTTCTATTCTGGTATTAGGAGAATTAGATAATAGCAAGAGGCACCATATGTAGAAATCCAAACAAAATATCTGAAGGAAAATAAAAGAACGATTGTTTATATGCGTATTGTAATACAGGGGCATATTACATTGTTTATATGCATATTGTAATACAGGGGTATTTAATAATATTGGAATAAGAGGACATTGCAATTACTCTAAATAATCATGGATCATATAAAATTTCAAAGCAAAATTTGTTTGCAAATGCTTTTTGAATTCGAGTTGAATTTTCTAATAGTTTAATAGTTCTAACAGTTTAATGCGTGGAAAAGATGATTTTTATTAATACATTGTGACTTTGTAGAAACTGATCTTTTGAACTATACATAAACATTTGCAATAATGTGATCAGTGGTTTCTCTTAGAAAAATTGAGTTTTTCAACACATTTATTTGGTTATAAATATAATTTGTTTCTTCAACAGCTTATATGACTTGGGATTTATTTGATTGATTTGCTATATATAAATGTGTGTATTTTCAAATATTAATCATTAACTGTAGTTTAAATCATGCTTAAATTATTTCCATAGTACATTATTTTTCATTTGTATTATATGAAAAGATTTGTACTATAGAGAAGAGATTATAGATATTTACTGCCTTTCAGTCATGCCCAGCTCATATTTATATGTGCTTCGGTACAGTTTTCTTTTATATTTTATACAAATCTCTCTTGTAGGAAATTATCCATTCTTTATCCCCAACCATTATTTTATCAAGCCTAGCAGTTGTCCTACCTTGACTATTATGCTGCAATTTACTCCCAACTCTGCTAAAATGTACTTTAAGAACGCACTCCTACTCCTTCCATTCTCCCAGCAGCACTGTTTTCATAATCCCCATCGTGTAAAGTGTAGAAAGCAGAAACTTCCATATTAAAACTTACAAATCATGAGGCTGGTAGAAATTTTGAAGTTGCAGTTAAGTTGTGGGGAGGTTTTCCTTTTATTCACAAACGGTTGAAGCTGTGCTTCGACCAGTTATAATGTCGTTTTTTATGTGTGATATATAATTACTGATTCGTTATTTATGCAAAGACAATGCATCATCCTATGAAGAATATTTTGGTCCAAATACGTAGCTGTGTTTAGAAAGTGTTTTCTCACATGGGGACAATAAACCATGAAGAAAAAATTAAAAGGTCACCTTACCATAGAGCCACCAAAAATAACTTTTTAACTTTTTTTGGAAGCTCCGTAAAACCTAGTTAATAAGTACTTTAATGCCTTTTGATTGAACACAGTTCCCAATTCGATATGTCATTAATGTAGTGCCTGGTAGCTGGATGGGATGTGAAGAGTGTAAGAATTAGATTTATATAGGGTGTTGCCTTTATCTGTCAGATAAAGACAAATTCCAGAGAGTGAAAATGAACTGGAGTTTGAGTCTTTGGTTCTCTTATTTCTCTTTTTCCATTTTAAGATAGATCTACTCCCCAACGGCCGCTGTCACAACAGTTACTAATGGGTTTTTCTAATCCTTTTTTCTTAGAAATGAAAGTTATGTGCTCCTCTGTTAACCAAGTTACAAAGTGTCTCAAGGCATTTCTGATACCTAAAACTGCTTAAAGCTATTATTTTCACCTTCCCAAAATATGACGACAATAGTGCCTAGAGTTTTATAAGTCTATAAACACTATACATGCATTTAAGTATATGTATAACCCATGTAACTGCAGTGCTACATTTTTCAAGAAGGTGATACATACACACAGCCACCAGGAAGAAAAATTAGTATCTTGTTTGTTGTTTTTTTCCTCCACCACTGTATCTAGAACTCCTAGAACAGCACCTAGCACTTAAAGGTACTGAATGTACATCTGTTGAATTAGTGAGTGATGGTCTGATACATGTAGGTGTGGACTCTGAGATAGAAGAAGACAGGGCAGTGTTAGTAAGCGCTGGTACTAAAAGAGAAAACCAAATTTACTTCTTTTTATATTGTATCCTAACTCACTGAGTTAAATCATCTAGACATGTGCATTCTACAAATCTATATGCATATAAGCATGAAGAAATTGTTCTAGGTTTGTATATACTGAATCTAAAACAATCATTTATGAAAATGTGTGACAGGGAACCCACATATAATTAAAACATTACTAACATTTTTCCACATCAGTGAGCTTTCATTATGTGGTTATGATAAGCAGTAGAGTAGAGAGTTTAGCAAAGTACTGTATTGGAACCTGAAAAGCTTAGAAAGATTTAACCTGATTGTTGATAGTTGTACCCTTGGGCAAGTAACATAAGATATTTAGGCCTGTTTTTTAACGTTGAAATTAAATCAGTGATAATAACTGCCCCTGCCTACTCAACTGTACTCTTGTGAAGATACAGTGAAATCATGTACGACTGTGTAGGAAAATTCCTGTTAAAATGTATAATTATATAAATTTCAAGATTTGTAAAATGCATATTGCTTCATCAAACATCCCAAATTCTAAGAAAGTTATAAATTTCCACGTAAAGTATCCTAAAAACAAATTACCTTTAAGAATGTGTTAAACATTATAAAATTGCATATTTATATCTTAAAAAACTGTAAATAAAATGTTAACCACATAAAATATACGTAAAGTTATTTCCAGATGTGGCAAATATTCTAAAGCTAAAAAAACTTTAAAATAAGAGAATACATACAAGCTAAGCCACGTTTGCTTTTGACAAAATCTTCCTTAGAGGATCTTACAAACTTTTGATCATATTCTTCTATTGTACAGAATGTTCCTTGACTTGTGATGGGGTTATATCCAGATAAACCCATTGTAAGTTGAGAATTTTGTATGCGGAAATGCATTCAATACACTTAACCCACCAAATATCATGGTTTAGCCTAGCTTACCTTAAACATGCTCTGAACACCTATGTTAACCTACAGTTGCGCAAAGTCATAGAACACAAGACCTATTTTATAGTAAAGTGTTGAATATCTCATTCAATTTAGTGAATACTATACTGAAGTATGGTTTCGAATGAATGTATATCACTTTCTCACCACCCTAAAGTTGAAAAATCACTAAGTAGAAACATTATAAGACGGGGGCCATGTGTATTTCCGAGGCTAGTTGTTACTTATTCAGGAGTAATTTTTTTATTCTTCTATTTATTTAAGGTATAAAACAAATAACTCACTTTATTGTATATTTATCTTGAGGTGCAGAAATGCAACTCTAAATTATTCCAAGATTCTGTGTACCATAACTTTTACCAAGAAGAGGATGCTGTTTTCTAGCTTGGTTTTAATTGTTGTTTTATTTTGGGCTTTAGTTTCTTTATGAAATGTGTTGATTTATTTTTTCCATTTCTAGTTCAGTAACTTAAAACCCATTGTTCTAATTGTGAGTTCAGAACCATGACAAAAATTATTGAAAAATATTGAAACTCTAAGCAAAGAATGATTTAATCAGTAGTGTTTTTTTCTCTTTTTTGCTTTGGAGTCTTGAAATTTGCTTTTGTTGTTTATTTTTTGTTGTCTTTCCTTTGCCATTTAAAAAAGTTAGTTTGTATTTATTTTCTCCTGGTTAAATTTGTAACCATGAACATATTAAAATTATAATGCTATTCCATTGAACCTTATGAATTGTCAAGTCTTTCAAAAGGTTTAAATATTGGCAATATCTTATAGTTTAATACAATGACTTGTACCCAAGTCTGCTTATTTCTGAATATTAATATATATCATTAAACATCCTGATGGAAAAAAAACAAGAACTTTCTGTTGTAAATCACGTATGATTAACAGACACCAATTCCCAAATTTAATTTGCCAAACCACAGGCAAAAATTAAATAGTGTTATCAGTAAGGAAATCTATGGAGCTTCCAAAAAGGTAAACATTGAGTAGAGTGTTAGCTTCCTGCTCCCATATCATGCCTTTTGTTTATTTCTTTTCTTTCTTTTTTTTTTTTTTTTAGATGTATGCATTTGGGTACAGAACAATTGTATGAAAGAGCGATTTTGCTTTTCTGTCCCCTGTGTAAAACAATATGATGGAAAGCACATTTCCCCAACATCAGAAGTATTAGTTATATATAAAACGGGCATAATATTACCAAATATGTTTTCTGTTTTACCAAAATAGTTTACTGTCATCAATATTAATTTTTGCAGGTTTGATTATATTTTATCATGTATGGTAGCTACCTATGAAGTTGCTTAATCATTTATACTAAATTTTCATTTATCAAAATAATAAGATGCTCATGATTGCATATGTAAATAGAATTAAAAAGTATAACATGAATTTTAAAAAAGCATATTCCATTCATTGGTGATCATCAGTTTTTGAGGTTTTCTTGGATTGTTGTATTGCTTTGGAATTTTTCCTCCATAAAACCTACCTGGCCCTCCTCTGCTGAGTCACACAACACTAAAGCGTATCCTGACTCTAAGAAATTTGGGATCATAGAATGCCATATATTTTGAACTAAGAGAAAAGTACTTACTTCTATAAAACCCCCTTTGCCATGCATGTGAGTCAATTTTTCTATTTGGATTTTCTGTAAAATGATTTAGGCGATGTGTACAACTTAACACAAAATGTACGTATCATAAAAGGACTGGTAAAATTGTTTTCAATTTACTTAGTGCTGATGGACTAGAATCATTTTATCTGAGAAACACTTGGATCAGTAAAGTGCAGGGTTTTTTTTGTTGTTCTTTTTGTTCTTGTTGATGCTCTGTGGCATCTGGAGAAATGGGCAGGTGTAATTCTGAATAAAGGACTTTTTTCTTAGATATCTAATGTGCTGTGAGGAAACCATAAGGAAACTCAGCCAGGAAATGCATGTGGACTTCTATTCCACTGTTCAACAGCTAATGTCTTGTAAAAGTAAAGTAGAATAAACAAGGAATTACCTGAATAGCTCACGTCTGACCATACCTGAATATCTATCTACAATGGTTGAACAGAGTAACAAATCTTAGAGGTTCAATGATTGAATTCAAATTGGATTTTCATAAGCAAGTTCAACTCAACTTTTTACTTCAAGTCAACAGATATTTATTAATGCTACAAGTGCTATGCTTAACATTCTAAAAGATAAGAAAGAAATATTAAGGAATAATCCTTGTACTCTGGTAGTTGATAACATTATTGAATATACATATTATAGTTATACAAACAAGTTAGAGAGTAATAAAGACATTAAGGACATCATCCAAGCAAAAATATATAAGACATGAGTGTAACTGAAATCATGAAAAGAAGAAAGCAGCACAAAAAGCAGAAACTAGGAGGAATTTTATAGAGGAGGAATCCTTAGCTTGAGGTGTGAATATAACTGGAATCTGGACTAATCTTGAATGTAATAGCTGACAGTTATTATTTTTGTGCCAGGACACATTCTAAACACTTAGAGTAACTTGTATGGTCATCATAACAGCCCTACAAGGAAGGCTGTATTATTATACCCATACTCAGATGGAGAAACGGAGGTCCTGAGCAGTTAAGTGACTTGCTCAGGTGAGATCATTTTTAAATATCATAGTTGAAGTCCCACTCTGGATGTTCAAGCTCCAGAGTTTCTGCTCTTAAGCACTACGCTATACAGTTTCTTGATGCAGAAAATGTTTTCAAAGTTAAAGATACAAAGTCAGTAAGGGTAAAAAAAAAAAAAATTGTATCAGAAGGATGTGTCTGAAGAATAACAAAGAGATTAATCCTTCACTTTGTTATTCACTTTGATTATCCTTTCAAGTGTCTCTGCTGGCAAAGCACTAGGAAATCAAGTTGGATAAAAACTGTGAATCCAGTTTTTTCTTTTTTTTCCTGGAAAAAAAGATGGGCTAAAAGATGGGCTTGAAAGTGTCCAAAAAGCTATATGTCATCATGGATGGATTTTGGTCAGGGATAATCCTTAAAATGGCAGGATAAATTGGACACAAGGAAAAATAAAGAGATAAAACAATAAGTAAGGAGATATTTGTGTTCAGCATAGCTGGACCGATTTATAAACCATACCCTTGATTCAGTAGCTGTACCAGGACTCTCATTATTAAAGTTCACTCAGGAGATGCCCAACATCCTAGATCACCCATTTTCCTGTGTTAGTGCAAAATGTGGACTGGATTTCCCGATACATATTTCTATCTAGTTAAATAAATACTCTGATTGGTTAAGGAAAGGTTTTCTGGAAGGTGTATATAATCCCACCATGGCAACAGAACCAAGAGTCTCTGACTGTCTACCAACCTGTAGACTTGAATTTTTTCCCTGTACTTTCTTCTAGCTTCTTCGATTTCTGTTATCCCCAAAACACCTTGATGTAGCCTTAAGCAGAATCAACCATCAAAGGGCTAACTCCCTCCTCCTGCTGGGTGCCTTCTCTGTTGGGCCCCAGCAGCAGTGAATCTATGCTCCCAACTTGACATTTTTCTTATCCCCTTTCCCACCTCCCCTAAATAAAATTCCTTTGTGTCAAAGTTTGATTTAAGTGATAGAAATGGCTAAGATTGTCTACAGGGTTGGGTTTGGAAGAAAAGAGGTCTGGAAAGGGAATATAGCAAAACATCAGTATTTTCTGAGCAAGTTTGGAAGAGATTAAAAATTACCCCTAGTGACTCTCAAATTTATATCTCTAGTCAAGATTCCTCTCCTGAATCATGACATATATATATATGCCTTTTATATATTCACTTAGAAGTATAATAAACATCTTAAATTTAGCATGTTAAAATCTTACACCCTAACCTTATCCTCCTGCAGTTTTCTACACTATAGTTAATGGCAACTCCATTATTCCACTTGTCTGTGCCAAAATTCTTCATGTTATCCTTAAGGCCTTTCTCTACCAACACACATGTAATTGGCCACCAAATCCTAAGGATTCTGCCTTTACAATGTATCCGGAATTCAACCCTGCCTCCACTCTGATCCAAAGCACCATCATCTCCAGCATGGATGATTGCAGTTGTCTATTAACAAGTTTCCCCCTCATTGCCTTCTCCCCTGTAGACTCTACTGTCAATATACTAGCCAGAGATACCTATTTAAATGGAAAGTCAGATTATATCCCCCTTTCTGCTTCTGTTCAAAACCCCCAATGCTCCCCATCCCCCTCAAAGTAAACAGGGAAGTCCTTATGTTCATAAGTACCTTCATGGGTTACCCACCCCATTCTCTGATATTTCTCTGGTAGTCGCTAGCTCATACACTCCAGCCATAATCACTTCCTCCATGTTCCTTGGCCACTCCTCCAGGCACATTCCAGTGTCAGGGCCCTTATACTTGCTTTACCTGTCTGGAATATTATTCTCATGATTTTTCTTTCAATGGTTAATTTCTGCATTTCCTTCAGATCTTTACTTAAAAACTGCCTTCCTGGTAAGGTCTTCCCCGACCCCTCTTACCTAAAATTCTGACCCCCACTTTATCCTTCATTTCTTCCTTCCCTGCTTTAGTTTTGCTCCTCAGCACTTAACCACTATCTAACTGAGTATATAGTTTAGTCATTTCTCTATTTGTTTACTTTATTCTCCTGTAGAAGGTGAGATTCCAGAGAGCGGGGCTTTTGCTTTCTGGATCACTAGTATATACCCAAGATATAATATATGACTGTCTCAGGCTGGGCGCGGTGGCTCACGCCTGTAATCCCAGCACTTTGGGAGGCCAAGGCGGGTGACCACAGGGTCAGGAGTTCAATACCAGCCTGGCCAACGTAATGGAACCCGATCTCTACTAAAAATACAAAAAATTAGCCGGGCATGGTGGCGGGCGCCTGTAATCCCAGCTACTCGGGAGGCTGAGGCAGGAGAATTGCTTGAACCTGGGAGGTGGAGGTTGCAGTGAACAGAGATTGCGCCACTGCATTCCAGCCTGGGTGACAGAGTGAGACTCTGTCTCCAAAATAAATAAATAAATAATAAATAAATAAATAAATAAATAAATAAATAAATAAAATATGACTGTCTCATGGTAGGTTTTTTCAACAAATATTTCTTGAGTTAATGAATGAATACAGCGATGTAGCTGTCAGACACAGAGAGAGAAACCTAGAAGATAGTATTACTAGTTAAAACTAGTGTGGCTAGGTCTGTATGATGAAAACTGTGCCTAACTGTACTGAATCCTGCCAAGGAGGGAAAGATGAAATGGGGAAGCTATTACTAAGTGAGTGAATAGGAATTTCCTTCAGGAAATAAATATGGTTAAAAATGTGAATTATAAGTGCTTCCAGCTGTCTGCTAATGTTAGTCCTTCAGAGAAATGAAAACTGAGAAACCATTAGAAAGCAATTTTATCACTTCTTTTAAAAAATAAAGTTCAATATATTTCAAACCAGAATATCATCGAAATACTGAAGTCATTTTCAGGGGAAAATGCCCTGAAACAACAATTTCATATTATCTTATATTTTAACTTATGCTTTTATACATTTGAAATTTTATTTCATTTGAAGACTTTTTTCTAATTGAAATTTTTGACTGAGAGAACACTCACAACTTCTGATGTAAAATTTTATTACTGAGGAAAAACTGTTAAACAGAAGACAAATTAGCCAATTAATGTTTGTATATACATCCCACAGTGGACATATTATTTAAAATCTTGGAAAGAGTTGTAGATTTGTGAAGGTATATGTGAGCTTATTTCTAGGTATGAAATAAGGGAGCAAAGACACTTGTAAATTATAGACATCCTTATTTAGTAATTGGATGTTGAAGATGAAGAAATGGCTGAATTGAATGACCACAGAGACGGGACAGAGGAAGTGATGTTTGTTTGTTTGTTTAATTGTTTATTGAGACAGAGTTTCACTCTTGTTGCCCAGGCTGGAGTGCGGTGGCACAGTCTCGGCTCACTGCAACCTCCGCTTCCTGGGGTCAAGTGATTCTCCTACCTTAGCCTCCCAAGTAGCTGGGATTACAGGCGCCCACCGCCACACCTGGTGAATGTTTGTATTTTTAGTAGAGACAGGGTTTCACATGTTGGTCAGGCTGGTCTCGAACTCCTGTCCTAAAGTGATCCACCTACCTCGGCCTCCCAAAGTGCTGGGATTACAGGCGTGAGCCACCGCGCCCGGCTGCTATTTTAAATAATAGAACTTTGGCACTTTTCACAGTATTCGGGAAGCAACGAGCTTTGCTATAGGTACAAAAATATATTTAAAACTTCAGTAAATTATTTTAAGTTTACTTTCATCAAAAGTGATTAACAGTAAGTTCAATTTGTCAGATATTACTCTCCCCTACTCTAGTTCTCTTCAGGTTCTGCAATATCTACTTTGACATTTATACACATAAGTTTACCATTTAGATGGTAAAGGCAGGCTCTGCAATGAAAATCTTTGACAGCAAGGGAGTAGTTGTCACTTTACATTAAATGGAAGAAAAACTAAACAGTAGAAGTCTATCCCTTATGATAAAGAATGGAGCATAGTTAAGGGTTGCTTCATACCTTTATCTTAAACTGATTAGTTGGCAAATAGGTCCCTTGTTTGTTTCCTAGATAAATTTTCTGTATTCTCTGGCTTCTCCTTTTATCCTGTTAAAGACACATACTCCACAACACTTGAATAAACAAAGCATTTTTATGTTCAAATTATTTCTGTATGTGTCTCCTTTAAAAACCAATTATCTTCTTAAGGGAGAGACTCACATTTTAAAGTCTTTATTTTCATATCTCACATTTGAGGCTGATATTATGTCTGTATTATCAATAAACACTTATTTAAACAATAAGCTTTTCAAACAGATAAATGAATTGAAGCCACATGGCTTATAGATTTCTGCTTTTCCTTACTTTAGGTATCTGGATTTCATCTGCCGGTTGTAAAAGTTACTGTGCTATCTAATTTTTCTCTATTCACAGTGCATAATCAGGGTCTTCTTTAACTTATTGGAGACTGTGAATCAGAGATGCAAATATCCTATTTTAAAATATTAAGGACTCGAGTTGTATAAATTCGTGTACAGATGCCTTTCAGAAATTAAAATTCCATTTGTATGTATATTTAGAATTTCCTTTTGCAGAAAGAGTGGCCAAAAATAAACATCTTACAGAATTTCAGCGGAATAGTGAAGTGGTCAATTCATAGGGGCATGTCAAAATTAAGAAGGGATTTGACTAAAAAGTTGGTACTTTATCATTTTGACATCATATTTTCAGATAAGATAAGGAACTATTCAGGGAGAGAAATAGAAATGCTATATTCTATAGTGATTCTAGGGATGTTTATATCGCCATAGCAACTACAAGGGACTATGGCTTCCTTTTTAGAGGGTCAGAAACTATAAAGATCACTTATTTCTAGACAAACTAAAATAGTAAAATACTATCAGAGATCTCATCTCTGACTTTAAACTATGGAAAGTGCTACAGCATTTTCTTTGGTGCACATACCATTTTTCTGTGTGCAGTGCCTTGAGGACACGAATATGTGCAGGGACTTTAAAAAGGATGTATTTCCTGGACTCCAGCCAATTTTGACAGCATTCTCTGAGAATGCACCAAGGAGCTATTATCTAGATATCCAGGGAGTGTGACATCCCCTGCCCCAGTTTTTGCTTTTTGCTTTTCTCCTTTAAGATAGAAAGTTTTCCCGCGTTAGTAACATGCTGTACAGCATTGCTAAAACCGTTCATAACTTGATGCTGAGCAATGCTACAGCATTCCAAAGAATTGGTAGCTCCCCAGAGACTCAGATTAAAATCAGGAAGCTTTGCAAGCTCAAATCCTCAGAGAGTATACATACACACACATACGCACAAACACACGCATACCATATCAAAGCCATAACTGGATAACTTTTATATGCTGATGGGGAAGATCCTTTATCTCTTCCCTTGAATGTTTTTCTCCATGGGTGCTTACAGCTATGCATTTAAAGGGTTTGGGCCTGCTATGTACTAACAAATGTGATTGGTTGCCCAATGTGAATTTAAGTAATCAGCCTTTCATTCAGCTGGAGTCTTGGTATCAGGTGGAGGACTTGGCAGAGTTATGTATCTTTGCCATTGGACTGGCAGCCAAGCAAGAATGATGGAGACAGTGACTTAAAAGAATTCAGAGTTGAATCAAGTACTTGTGAAATCAGGCTGCCCAGGTCAGGCAAGTTAACAGAAGCAGCCAAGAAGATATGTTGGTGCACGTTTCTGGTACCTGACCTAATCAGGCTAGCGGAGTAGCCCTAAACATTCCACCCAAGACTCCAGGCTTGGAGCCATCAGAAGATGGTAGTAAAATTCTACCAGGTAAATAAAAGTAAAGAAATAATACTAGAGATACGCTTGAGTTCAATGGCTTTTAGGGCATTAATAACAGGTATTACATCCATTGTATCTCTTTTATTATAATTTCAAGTGTATTTTAGATTCAGGAATACATGTGCAGGTTTGTTACATGGATATATTGTTTGATGCTGAGATTTGGGATATGAATGACCCCATCACCCAGGCAGTGAGCATAGTATCCAACAGTTTCTGTTTTATTATGAGTTTTGTTTTTATCAATATGAAACTTTTCTTCAATAAGCAAGCCTCTGATGTCAAATACAGCATACTGCAATGTCGTACAAAGCTATTTTCTATTTTATAGTGAAAGATGATGACAGCAAAAGACAGTCTGGTCTGCCTACATTTATGTTTTCCACTTCCAACATGCTGTTGTTGCTCTCGATAAGATCACCAATGACCTCCTAAATTGCCCGAGCTGACTTTTCCCTCCTGGTCCTGGCTGCATCTGACTTGTTGACAACTCCCTCCCTCCTTCTGGTTCTCTTCCTGGGTCTGATGACTATTATTCTTTAGGGATACTCATCTCCTTCCTCTGCCCATGCTTTCCACATAGGTTCATCTTTATGCTACCTTTCTTCTCACTCTTTTCACCCTAAACACCTTTCCTGAGCAATCTGACCATCCCTAGTCTTATTCAACATCACACACATTCCAATGACTATCAATTCTCTATGTGAAATTGCTAAAAGACAGTTTTAACCTGCATTCCTCCAGATAAGTAAATTCTCAGATTGTTTCTGTGTTGGCTTGTTCTTTCTTTTGTATGGTAATACCTGACCTGTCAGATAAGTACTTTTTCCACAGAGTTAAATTGAGGTGCGAAACAAAAGAAATAATGAAAGCTTTCCATCACAAGGTGTACATAGACTGGAAGAGAATGCCTTGAAATTTTATTTTAAAAACACCTTCTTTCTCTGAAATTCACTCACATCACCCATAACCATTGTATCTTATCCTGTTGCTGAGCTGATAAATAAGACACGAGAACACAGTTGCTTTTTATAAGGTTCCCATTGTAAGCATTGACTTTTACCTTTTACAACTGACATTATCTGTAGTCTCACCTGCCTCTTCAGCTTAGTTCTTGCTCAAGGCAAGTCCTCGTGGACCACAAACGTGAAATCTTAGAATAAGGCAGAAAATCCTCTAAGTTTTATTGTTAACTTCTTTCCTGTTTCCCTCTCTGATTGTGAAGTTTTCTTCAGAGCCCGTCATCTGGAAAGCTGTACGATCAGCAGCAGTCACTCCCTATCTAACACAGTCTCCAACTTACAAATGATTAAAATGCTTCCCAATTTTGACTGAAAATAGGCAAGAATATTCCCTTTGTTTTGGGAGGCTGAGGCGGGTGGATCACGAGGTCAGGAGATCGAGACCATCCTGGCTAACACGGTGAAACCCCGTCTCTACTAAAGATACAAAAAATTAGCCAGGCGTGGTGGTGGGCGCCTATAGTCCCAGCTACTCGGGAGGAGGCTGAGGCAAGAGAATGGTGTAAGTAAACCCGGGAGGCGGAGCTTGCAGTGAGCCTAGATCAGACCACTGCACTCCAGCCTGGGTGACAGAGCTAGACTCCATCTCAAAAAAAAAAAAAAAAGAATATTCCCTTTGTTGATATTTGTTAAAATTTATATTTATCTAGTCAGGAAACATAAGATCTCTGGATGAGAGAATACATCATTAATTACTCAAAAGCATCTCAGGGCAAGATGTTTATCTGTGAGTGCAGGGGTTGTAGTACAGGAGAGAAATCCCAGAATTGTGGATCTTGGAGATTATATAGAGCACCTGATGTATCAGGAGGAGAGAAAGTGAGAGAGACAGACATACAGGAAGACAGAGACTTTGCTCTGGGCTATAAACCAATGATCTAGGTCTATTATTTTTGGAATATAAGTTGAAATGTAATCAAAGGGCTCTTGGAGATAAAAGTTTTTAAATCTCTCCAGAGCAATGCACTAAACTCCAAGGTACGCTTGCCATTCAGTCACCCTTTAAGACAGTTACTACAACTCTTTGCTCAGAAAGCCTAGTCCATGTATCCAAATGTGAAAATATGTATGGCTCAGCAATCCCTGCCATCTTACTCCTCTTCTCAAAATCTGATTTCAACTGCCTCTGGAACATCTACAGTTTGATGCCTCAAAGGCTTTTCAGAATGACCATGTCCAAAATTGAACTGATCACTTATGCACACATACACAAGCATGTAACCATGGAACCTCTTCATCTGTCTGAAATCCTGTTACCCAATGACACCACAAATCATGTGGATGCCCAGGCCAGATACCTAAGACTCATTCAAGTTCTTCCTCTTCTTCACCCAACACACAGTCACTGAATTCTGCTGAGCTGTTTTCCTAAACTTCCTTCCCACTTCAGCTCAAATGTGAATAGCAACTAGATACTTGATTCAATTAATGAACTTTTGTTAAGACTGTAGGTGTGTTAATGGTATTATATATGTACTTTCCGAAAAAAGTTCTCATGAGAGAATATTTCAGCAAGAGAAAAATGCTGAAGTATTTATGGAGAAAATAATATATCAGTTTGTTTCAGAATAATCTAGTTGAAGAGGTGAGTGGGTGGATTGTCCATGGAGTCATAACAGTTGGCACTGGATTATAGGGTTATGGGAGCTATTTGTATTATTTTCCTACTTTCAAATATATTTGAAATCTTACATAATGATAACTTTTTAAAAATCATAGTTCCCCATTAGCTACTGAAGTACAGGCAGAATTTTCTGTTGAGATTCAAAGCACATTATTGAACATCCTCAGCCTCTGTTTCATGCCCCATCTTCCCCTAAGCTTCTATGTTACTGAAAAGGCAGCCAAATATGACTGCGCTTGTTACCTAGCTTTGCGTGTGTGTTACCTACTAGCTCTAATGTTCTTCCCACTTCTACTACTCAGATATGTCTACTGCAATTTGCACCTTCTTCGTGAATTCTTTCCTGAGCCTATGACCAAATATATGATACATGTTTTCTCTAACTTCTAGAAAATGTTTGGTACCACTTGGAACACTCATTTCTTCCTTCTTCTCATCCAGCTAAGGCTTCTATACTTGGATTTTTTTCTTCAATTCTTCAAACCATATCCTTTCTTACTACTACAATAAAACCTACTTAAAACTTCTTAAAGGCAAACTAAACTGTGTTTCACCCACCTTTGTTTCTGCTATATTGCTCCTTACACATGGGAAGAACTCAATAAATTTTGCTCAGTGGACCTTATGTATAATTTAGATGATCAAAATAACAAAATTCGTACTAGGAAGAATAGCCAGAATGTAGTTTTTAGCAAATTTATTGAGAATAAATATGTTTAGATTTTTCTTTCTTCCCGTATAACCCATTTGTGGTTTGTGATTTTTCCGTTAAATAGAATATAAACAAAACATTATGGATTAAATTTATGGGACCATCTATTCATTTATTCAACAAAAAAGCTTTTGCCATCTATCATGTGCCAAGCACAGGTTTGAGCTTTGGAAGCCCAACAGATAACAACATCCCTGTAGTCATAGATTTCAAATTAGTGGTATATACCGGCTACTTGATATATATTTTAATGTTAGTAATAAGTACTATAAAGAAAAGGGAAGAGTAATGCCAGGAATAAAGAGTGATTGCTGGTGCTATTTAAAATAGAGTAGTAGAGAAGGCCCCTTTAACGTGAGAAAGAAGTAAGGGAACCACTGATAGAAATGTGGGTTAGGAAAACTATTTTTGGCAGGTAGAACAGCAAGGGCAGAAATCTTGAAGCAAGAATGTAGTTGTTATACTCAAGTAATGCAATAAACCTAATGAGGGTGAAGTGTTGTGGACTATGAAGAGACTGGGAAGAGATGAGCTTGGAATGGTAGGTAGTATACAACCAAGTCATGTAGAGATTTATAGGTCATAGTGAAGATTATGCTTTTTTAAAAAAAGTAAAAGCAAGTTTATTAAGAAAGTAAAGGAATAAAGAATGGCCACTCCGTAGGCAGTGCAGTGGCATGGGCTGCTTGACTCAGGATACTTGTAGTTATTTCTTGATTATATGCTAAACAAGGGGTGGATTATTCATGAGTTTTCTGGGAAAAGGAGTCAGCAATTCCTAGAACTGAGGGTTTCTCCCATTTTAGACCATATTGGGTAACTTCTTGACATTGCCATGCATTTGTAACCTGTCATGGCACTGCTAGGAGTGTCTTTTAGCCTGCTAATGCATTATAATTAGTGTATAATGAGCAGTGAGAAGGACCAGAGGTCACTTTTTTCACCAGCTTGGTTTTGGTGGGTTTTGACTAGCTTATTTACAGCAACCTGCTTTATCAGCAAGGTCTTTGTGACCCGTATCTTGTTCTGGCCTCTTATCTCATCCTGTGACTAAGAATGCCCAACCTCCTGGGAATGCAGCCCAGTAGGTCTCAGCCTTATTTTACCCAGCCCCTATTCAAGATGGAGTTGTTCTAGTTCGAACGCCTCTGACATATTTCCCCTCTTTCTTTTACAAGGGAACCCTTAATCCTAAGGGTAGTAGAGTTACCCTTAGGATTAAGTAGTAGAAGGGTAATACATCTTCTGTAACTTCTTCAGGCTGAATATGGGTGATGATATTTCTGCCTAACTATTAGGGTCTCTTGTATTCAGGGTAGAGAGGAGCTCAGTCAGCAAGCATCAGCTTGGTGAGGGCCATTCATAACTGATAAATGGTGATATCTGGAAGATTAGTAAGTTTTCAATCTAAGAAAACATTGAGTAAGCTTATTCTGCATTCCTATACAAAAAGTAAAACAGCAAATATATTCCACAACAGTAAAACACAATAAGTAAAATTATCCCAAGTAAACTAAATTAGAAGGCTTTCCGTGAACTGGGCAGCTGTTGGAACCAAAGTGATGTGGGGCTGCTAGCTGATTCCAATACATGCCCAGAATTAGAATACTGATCCAGGTTTTTATATTACCCATCCTTCTTGTTTCTTCTGAGGTGCAGTCAGAGATCACTGGCAGGTTCACAGGAATAAGCAGGATCAGTCTATATTGCAGGAAAAAACTCAAAAACAGCTGACGAGACTAATAACAGGTGTACCATAGTTCTTAAAACATAATTTTTTTCTCTCTCCAGTCTCCCATTTTTACTAAAGATGGATCATCATAGGACTGATTTGCTTTATTATACTTGGCCTGATTATTTGTATAAAGTGTTGCAAGAATAATTATTTTTCATGTAGGCTTTTGAAATTGGCTGTGATTGAACTCTGTGATGAAGAGCCACCAGAAGATTTTGAGCAGAGGAGTGATATGATCCCAATTATGTTTTAAAAGAATCTTTTCGGCTCTTGTGTGGAGAATTATCCAGTAGGGGGGAAAGAGCGGAAGCAAGAGGACCATTTAGATAGGTAGTTCTATAACCCAGATGAGAGACAATAATAGCTTCTATCAGATCTGTAGCAAGAAAGGTAGTGAGAAGCAGTCAAATTCTGCATATGTCCTGAAAGTCAAGCCAAAACATTTGCCCAATAATTTGAATACTGGAGACTGAAAAAATTAAGGATGGCTCCAAAGTTGTCAATCTGAGTAATTGTTAATTGAATTACTATAATTCAATTGAAATCAGTAATTGCCATTTACTGAAATGAGGGAATCTATGGGATGAGAAGGATTAGGAAATGCAGTTCAGAATTTTGTTTGCGTCATATTAAGTTTGAAAGTCTCGTGAGACCTCCAAGTGTTGAGAAATTAGCATTTGTTAGACTGGAGTTCGGAGGAGATGTCCGGGCTTGAGATACACATTTGGGTGTCATTGTCTTATATAAGATATTTAAAATTATGAGAACAAATGGGATGGATTATGGACAGAGAAGAAAAGAAGTGCAAATACTGAGTCAGAGCACTCTAATATTAAGATCAGGATGAGAAGGATCCAGCAAAGGAAAGCAGAAGAGGTCAGGATACAGAAGCCAAATGAAGGCAGTTTTAAGATGTAGGGAGCGATCCACTCTCTCAGGATGAGGTCTGTGATTTACCTATTGAATTTGAACATGTCAAAGTCACTGGACTT